>NT_187383.1:0-40861 GCF_000001405.40 Homo sapiens
GAATTCCCACACTGAGTAAAAACCTCCTTGGTGGGCTTATAATCAATCTCACATATTTAACAATTTGGATTTTATCTTACGTTCCGCTATAAAATATGGAACAAAATCGGTTTGATTTACAGTAGATGTAAAATAGAAAAATTAGGATGGGCTATTCTGGACATGTAGAATTAGTTCCTTTCATGGGTTTTCTACAAACCTGTATTTATTACACTAAAATAATGCTAAAATATATTTTGTTTTATTGTGTGGAGTTTAAATGGATACACTGGATAATGGAATAACATTAACTAAATAAACATTGATGCCTATTTTTTTCAGTGTTTTAAAATTTTTTAACAAAGATTTCTTTTTACGGTAAAATTGCACTTCATTAAATCTACTCCTAAATATTTCTTTCTTTTTCATACATACACAAATGGATTGTTTTTTTAATTTTATTTTCAGGTTGATCATTGTTAGTACATAAAAGTACAATTGAACTTTGCATATTGATTTTGTATCTTGTGACCTTGCTGAACTCATGTATTGGTTTTAGTGGGTTTTAATGAGTTTTTTATAAACTTTTATATTCACTTATGTCCTCTGCAATGATAGACAATTCTAACATCTTATTTTCCCACATTGATGATTTTGTTTTTTTCTCTCATGTAATTTCTTTGGATGTTAACATTTTTGCCTTGTTCTAAAATGTCAAGACACAACAACCAGTATTTTACTATTATGGCGTTAGGTGTAAGTTTTTCACTGATGCTCTTTAGCAGATTTAGGAAGTTTGCTTGTACCCTTCCTTTCCAGGGAGATTGTGAATGAATATTGGATTGGTCAAATGCTCCCTGTGTCTGTTGAAAGGCTCTTTCTGTTAATTTCCTTTATCCTATTACTTTGTGTAAGGCACTGATTGATTATCGGATAGATCAATATTGCATCTGTAAAATAATTCCATTTGGTCATGGTGTACATTCATTTTGATATATTCTTGATTCATTTCGCTTTTTTGAGAATTTCTCTGTGTGTATTCATCAGGGAAATTCATCCATACACATATTTACTTCTGATGCTTTTGTCTGCCTTTAGTATCAGGGTAATACTGGCCTCACAGAACAAATTGGGAAGTGTTCCCAATAACTGTCCCATATTTTCTGGAAGGTCTTGTAAAGAGTTGGCATTAATTCTTCATTAAATGTTTAGTAGAATTTACCAGTTAAGCCATGTGGCTCTGGGCTTCTCTTTTTGTGAAGATTTTTAATTAATTGAATCTCTTTACTTGTTATATGTGTATTCATATATTCTGTTCCTTCTTGGATTTGCTTTTATAATTGGTGCCTATTGAGGTATTTATTTCTAATTTGTAGTATTTCATGTGTTTAGGTTTTCTAGACAGTTGGCACAGAAGATTCAAGAAGTTTAATGTAGGAGAATGTTTAATGTAGGAGAATGAGGCTTTGGTGTCATCAATGAATGACTTGAAGTTTCTTATGTTGTAAAGAAAGATATGACCGTAACTGCCATAGTTAATATTTATTGTGCAAGTCAAATAAGAAGGCAGGAGGAAAGGACATCCATCACTCAATCACACACCAGTGTACTCATTAAAGCCTTTGAGAAGGACCCTCAACATTTTCCAAGAGAATTCCTTTCCTGGAATCACCATTATAGAGAAACTGGCTAAACAGACAGGCATTTCAGAGTCCAAAATTTACATTTGGTTTCAGAACCAAAGACCTCAGCTCCCAGGCCACAGCAGAAGCGGGCTTGTGAATTCCCTGGCAGCGGGTCCAAGACCAAGACCTCATCTGACTGTTTGGCTGGAACAAAACATGTGCACTACCCCAGGCAGGTCTCATCTTCTTCCTGCCTCCTATTCTGTCAGCAGCCACCTGTCATTTGTACCAGCTCTTCCTTCACCTCCCACAACCTGTGATTTTTTGGATCCCTCTGCAGGCTGTGTGAGCCAGGCACCAAGGGTCACGATGCACATAGCACCCTGGCTGTGCAGATGGGAGAGTTCTCTCAACCTCTTCTGGCACTTAGGAGTCATATGTCAATGGTACCAACTCTAGGAGGGAGGCTCTCCCATACACAGACTTGTTTCTGGCCTCAGTCGAAAGGAAAACTTTAGGATGACAAGAAAAATAAGACACTGGCCTGGAAGTTCTGCCTTAAAGGGACAGCCACAGCCTGGTCATCCTTAGCCACAATTTTAGAGTCTGGGTCAACAGGACACATCCCACCTTCAGAAGTGGTGGAGCTTAGGCAACGGGTCCCAGGATGCCATGATTCAATGGCAACCTGGAGCAGGAGCACCTTAGTAGCCCATGCACATAGGTCTACCTGTGGCAGAAACAGGCACAAGCCATGAAAGAGCCATCTATCTGCTGGAGCAACCACACCAGTCATCTGCATGATCTTCTACAAGTCCCAGAGTTTCAGGAAAAGGCACAATCTTTTCGGAATGCAGATCCACAAGAGGAGGGCCCTCCGTGGTCTGAATCACCACTCAGTGAGAAAGAATTTCAGGCTCTGCTTAACAGGCTGCAGAGCTCACCAGGGGATCAGCTTTAGCAGGCAGGCATCCTTCTCAGCACTGCCATCCAGGACTCTTTCCCTTGGACACAAACAGCAAAATGCCAGGAAGACGGGACCAGGAACACAGTGTGGTCAGAAGCAAGACTGATGCAAGAAGCAACCACTTGGAAATCCAAAGGGAGCATTTTGGCCCTCTCCTGTGGGCAGCCCTCAACTTTGGTGCTCACTTCCTAACCTCAGTGACGGTTTCTGAGCTTCATCCTGCCTCTGGAGTCCACATGGGCTCCAGGCGGTGAACAGTTTCACTGAATCCTGATGCAGCAAAGCAGCATTCTCATGACAAACAGGACCTCTTCACTTTGATCATAAGCTCCTGGGCCATCTGGACAATGCACAAACTGGAAACCCAGCAAGGGGAGGAAAGTAGCTCTAAGGGGGACACATTCCCACTTCTTTCCCTTCTAGCAAGTTTGAAAGCTAATTGTAAATGCAGGTGGATATGTAGAAAATGAGGGCATGCTATAACTTCTCATCACATGAGGTTATGACCAGGAGTTTTTAATCCTAGCTCTGAGAGCTGCAAATGGGAATTGGAAGTTTTTCCACTAAGCATCTATCAATGACTGATTGTGCAAGCTTATCTTCATCATGCTGAGGAGTCTTCACTGAGAATTTTCCTATTGAACAAATAAACATAGAGATAGTGACAAGTAGGCCAGGCATAGAGGCTCACGCCAGTAATCCCAGCATTTTGTGAGACCAAGGTGGGCAAATCAGTTGAGGCCAGGAGTTCGAGACCAGCCTGGGCAACATGTCAAAACCCCGTCTCCACTAAAAACACAAAAAACAGCTGGGCATGGTTACTCATGCTGGTAATTCCAGATATTCGGGTGGCTGAAGCCTGAGAATCTTCTGAACCCAGGAGGCAGAGGCTGCAGTGTGTTGATATTTTGCCACTGTACTCCAGCTTGGGCAACAGAGCAAGACTCTGTCTCAAAAAAAAAAAAAAAAGAAGCAAGTGAGTAAGAGAGAGAAAACTATAAAATCACTGAACAAAGTGTAAAGATGTTAATTTTCCCACAACGTTAGAAATTTTGTGTATATTTACATGCATATCTACACATAAAGCTGATCTCCTTATATGTTAAATCAGTTACATGTTCAGTGAAAAATACATTATTTTCTCTGTTTTAACACTGAAGAGGGGTGCACGTGGTCCAGACATGTCCTGTTGGAGTTGAATGGGGCATGTTCTGGGAAAAGGGGAAAGGCAGAGTAAGGGCCTGGTGCATTTAGGTGGGGTAAAGTGGGACTCTAATAGAGAGGCATCCAGGGTCTGGGCCCTAGCAACACTGAGGCTCACGGGGGCTTCTGCAGGTGAGGGAAATGGTGCAGGGTGCTGAAGGCTAAAATATCCTGTAACAGGCGAAGATCTGGCCAGATCGTCCTGCATTCCAGCATCATTGCCAGCCAGGCCTAACTTGACCCTATATTGAAGACACCTGGGATGGACAGGCGTGAGCCTCCAGGCTTCAAAGAGCCCCCAAATGAGATCTGCCCTGCGGCAAGGGTCCAGACCGTTACGGCCAGGCCAATTTAAAAGAGCCCCATCTCCTCTGTTCTCAGAGGCTTAAGCGGGTGGAGAACAGATAAGAAGTGAACTGAAGTCTCCTTGAAAAAAACAAAGTCCCATGGGGTTTGCCACCCCCTCCCCCCACCCACCTAAAACTGGAACCAGTCAGCCACCTCTGTCTCTTCTCCATGCCAAGAACCTCTGTTCAGGGCTCCTGGCAAACCCCTCCTCCCTGCTGCCTCCCCGCCACAGTACGCTTGCCAGGAATGCCCGAGATCTGGCACCTGAGCATGTTGCGTGGCAGGCGGGGGAGCAAGCGGGACAAGGGCGGCGATGTGTCCTGCACAAAGGCCCAGGCTGCAGACCAACTCGCCTCGCAGCAGGTAGCAGCTGTGTGCCCCCTGCCAGGCCACTCCCCCTCCCGGAGCAGCAGCTCCCGCTGCCACTTCTGTTTGTTGAACACAGGATGTATGAATGACGGCTAGGGAGCCAAGGATGGGGATGGTGGCGACATCTGATACTGTTGTAGTAAAACTCCAGCCAAGGAACACGAAGAGACCTTTGGAGACCAAAGAGAACTTTATTTAATTCAGGCACCTGAGCCAACAGCAGGCTCATGCCCAAAATGGCTGCCGACCCCTGCAAAGAAAGCAGGCTTGCTTAAGTGCCGTTTGAGGCGGGAAAACAAGGCAGGTTACAGGTTTCAGACAAAGACAGTAAATTATCCAACCCGTGACAATTCGGAGAGAACTTACAATTTAGTTATTTTGTCCAGTCAACTTTGAAGCTGAACAGAGCTGGGGTAAGGGAAAACACGAATTACAGGAATATGCGGGGGTCTGGAGGCAGGCAATAAGCTTGGAAGATTGAGATAAGCTCGCAGCTGCAACTTGTTAGCAATGCTGGAATGGACTGCTGAAATTTCTTAGCCTATGTATAACTTCTAAGTAACCTATGCTGAATGTTAACTATTACCTATGTTAGGTTTATTATTTTAAACTTTATTATTACTTATTTTATTTTATTTTCTTTCCACAGTATCTCTTACCATCCGGCCCAGGCAGCAGCCAGCCCTGCCTGGGCCGCGGCCGCCGGCCTCATGAGCCTGGCATTCCTGTCGCCCCCTCTCCCCATAGCTTGCCTCCTCCTTCTCACAGTCGGGCGCCCGGCTCCTCGAGACGCAGGACCACCTCAGATCTCCAGTCCTGCACCTGCCGGCTGAGCAAACGAGGAGACGGGGAGAAAAGCTGTCTGTCGTTCCTGAAGGAACAGGACCTCCGCACTCCAAGAAGGAATCCGGCGCCCAGTGGGGGCTGCAGGAGCAGAGGACCGTGGCGGCAGTAGCAGGAGAGGCAGGAGTAGGAGCAGTGGCTTCTCTGGAGGTGGCACTGTCTGCCCCCTTGAGCCTCTTCCTAACGCAGTCTTGATTCAAAATCCCTGCTCACCACGGATGCACAGTCACAGCTGAAGATTGTAGTTATCTAGGAGGATTCTTTCTTAGTTGTAAATCTATGTTTTATATAGGAGTTTTTTCGTTGTTTCTCTCATTCTTTTTTGAAATTTCATATTACTATTTTTTTTTTTTTTTTGGTAAGTTCCTTGACATTCGTGTTTTGTGAGTTTGGTTTTACCTACGTATTATGATTTTGGATGTAAATCTGCAACTCTATATACATGTTAAGTCAATGTGATGTTTAATCAAAATATGAATCAGCCATATCTACCACCAATAAAATCGTGTGTTTGTTTGCCTCTATAAATATAGTCTATTTCTTCTTAATTATCTTGCATATTTCTCTTCTTGGCTGGTGTCAAAAGTTGTTTTATCTTGTTCAGGACAGTAGTCATATAAGTAGTCTTAACTTACCCACGTATTTATTGAACAAATCTATATTTTCTTTGTGTGAGGAAAACACATTTATAATTTGAAGGTAATTTTCCAAAAAGTTTGTAACTCGGTATCTCTTTTATGTATCACTTTACAATATTTTAACTGTAATAAAACACAACAAAATTTACCAGTCTATACATTTGTAATTGCATAATTTATTAGTGGTACATATATCCACATTGTTATGCAACAGGCTTCTAGAGCTTTTCCATTGCAAAACTAAAACTCAATACCCATATACGTCAACTGCCCATTTTACCCTCTCCTGAGCCCTTAACATTTTACTTTCCATTTCTGTGAGTTGGACTACTTAAGATATCTCATAAGTGGAATCACACAATCACTGTCACTTTGTTTCCTGGCACATTTCACTTAACATCATGCCCTAAAGGTTTATTGTCATTGCAGCATGTGATAAGATTTCCTTTTAAAATCATATTTCATTGTATGTATATATCATATTTACTTATTTATCTGTCAAGGGACATTCAAGTAGCTTCTACCTTTTGGATTTTTAGAATAATTCTGTCATAAACGTGGGTATGTAAATGTTTCTTTCAGGTCCCGCTTTGCACATTTAGATAGATATCTAGAAATGGTATTGCCAGACCACATCATAATTCCAATTTTAATAATCTGAGGAAACTCTGTACTATTTTTCATAATGGCTGCATGATTATTTTTTCCACCACCCAGTGCACAAATATACCAATTTCTCTACATCCTTGAAAACACTTGTTATTTTCTCTTATTTGATAGTGGCCATCCTAATGAATGTGAGGTAATATCTCACTGGGGTTTTGCTTTTCATTTCTCTAAAGATTCATGATTTGCAGCATCTTTTAAAATTCCTCTTGGCCGTTTGTATATCTCCTTTGTAGAAACATGTGGGTGTGAAGGATTACCTAGGTGCCGAGGCAAGAGACTGAAGGTAAAAACTGTTGCAGTATAATAAAGAAAACAGTTAGAATAAAGAATAGTTATAACACAAATTAGATATAGAGATGATCATGGACATTATCCATCATTAGTATAAACATTATTAATCACTAGCTTTTAATATTACTCTTTGTTGTATTACTCATATAACCAAGGAATAACTGGTGGGTATAGGGTCAGGTGCTGAAGGGACATTGTGAGAAGTGACCTAGAAGGCAAGAGGTGAGCCCTCTGTCACACTCACATAAGGGCCGCTTGAGGGCTCCTTGGTCGAGCGGTAATGCCAGTGCCTGGGAAGGCACCTGTTACTTAGCAGACCATGAAAGGGAGTCTCCTTTCCTTGGAGAAGTCAGGGAACACTCTGCTCCACCAGCTTCTTGTGGGAGGCTGGATATTATCCAGGCCTGCCCGTAGTCATCCGGAGGCATAAACCCCTCCTTGTGGTGCTGTGTTTCAGTGGTCACGCTCCTTGTCCACTTTCACGTTCCTCCCATTCTCCTGGTTCCTCTTTGAAGTTCTTAGTAGATAGCGGTAGAAGGAATAGTGAAAGTCTTAAAGTCTTTGATCTTTCTTATAAATGCATAGAAGAAAACACTGATGTATGCTGCCTTCCCTCTCTGCTTTGGCTGCCTAAAAGGGAAGGGCCTCCTGTCCCATGATCACATGACTTGCTTGACTTTATCAATCACCTGGACGACTCACCCTCCTTACCCTGCCCCCTTGTCTTGTATGCAATAAATATCAGCGTGCCCAGCCATTCGGGGCCACTACTGGTCTCTGCGTCTTGGTGGTAGTGGTCCCCCAGGCCCAGCTGTTTTCTCTTTATCAGAAAGCTTACTACATTTGAGGTAGTCCCATTTTCCTGCTTTTTTCTTGTTACTTCTGCTTTTAATGTCATGTTAAAAAAATTATCAAGACAAATGTCATGATTTTTACCTTATATTTTAAGACTTTTATAGCGATCTTACTTACATTTAAGTGTTTAAGATAGTTTTCTATATGGTGCAAGTGAAAAGTCCAATTTTATTTTCTTCCATTTTGATACTCAATTTTAGAACACTATTCTGTTCTTCCCTGTTGTTCGGTCATGGCAGCCTGATTGAAGATTATTTGATGATATTCATAAAGGTTTATTTCTGGGTTCTCTATTCTGTTCCATCATCTATTTGTCTTTCTGTTTGTATTGCTATAGCTTTATAATATATTTTGGAATCAGGAAGTGTGATACCTCTAACTTTGTTCTTCTCCACAGCTACTTTGGCTACTCATTGTCCCTTGAGATTCCATATGAATTTTAAGACTTAATATTTCTGAAAAAAATGTAACATTGGGATTTTGATAGAAAATACTTTGAATTTGTGCTTCACTGTGAGTAGTATTGACATCTTAATAATATTAAATTTTCTGACCCTTGAACAAGAAGTCAAGAGTGTTCTGTTTTAAGTTTCACATATTTTTTCATTTGCCAGTTTCCTTCTGCTTGTGATTTGCAGCTGAGGTCTTTTTACGCTGCCCATGCTGGTCTCCAACTTTTGGGCTTAAGCTATTCTCCCTCCTCAGCCTCCTGATGTGTTTCAATTACATGGATGAGCCACTGCACCTGGCCTCTTTATTGTTTTTCTGATATTTTTAGGATTTGAAGGTAATTTTTGAAAAGATTGATAAATATGTATCTCTTTAGAAAGTTTTTCACTATTAATGTAGTCAAAACCACATAAAATTTACCATCTTAAATATTTTAAGTACATAGTTAAATAATATTAAATATATTCACATTGTTATGCAACATATCTCTAGAATGTTTTTATGTTGCAAAACTAAAATTCAATAGCCATGAAACAACAACTACCCTTTTATCTCCTCCCCTGAGGCTCTGACTGATACTATTCTACTTTCTGTTTCTAAGAGTTTAACTATTTTAGATATTTAACTGGAATCACACAGTGTCCTTTTATGACTCATTTATTTTATTTACATAATGTCCTCCAGATTTATCCTTAGTGTAAAAATAATCAGATCTCCTGCTTTTAAAAAACTGGATAATATTCCATTATTTGTATATTCCAATTTGTCTTTATTCACTGATTCATTGAGGGACATTTGGGTTGCTTCCACCTATCAGCTGTTGTGAATAATGTTGTGCAATGAATATGGATATACAAATAACTCTTCATTTGGCCATATATATGACAGTTTATTTCTGTGCTCTATTCTGTTCCATTTGTCTGTGTGTCTGCCTTTATGTCAGTACTAAATAGTTTGGTTACTGTAATTTTGTAATACATTATAAAGTCAAGGAGTGTGATGCCTCCAATATTATTTCTTTTTTTGAAGGTTGTTTGGCTCCTGAGAGTCACTTTAGATTCCATATAAGTTTTAGAAATGTTTTTTGTATTTCTGCCAAGTGAAATGACAGTTAAAATTTGATAGAGATCTCATTGAATCTGTAGATCATTTTGGGTAGTGTGGACATCTTCACAATATTGTCTTCCAACCCTTGAACGAGAGCATGCAGAAGAGTGCGTTGTTTAATTTCCACATATTTGTAGATTTTCCATATTTCTTCTGCTATTGATTTCTAATTTTATTCCCTTGTAATAAAAAATGATTGTAATATTTTAATCTTTTTTTTGAAACAGAGTTTTGCTCTGTTGCTCAGGCTGGAGCACAGCGGCTCAATCATGGCTAACCAGAGCCTCGATCTCCCAGGCTCAAGCAATCCTCCCCCGTCAGCCTCCTGAGTAGCTGGACGCACAGGCATGTGCCATTATGCCCAGCTAATTTTTAAATTTTATATTTTCTAAAGAGAGGGTCTCTTTATGTTGCCCAGGCTGGCGCCGAACTCCTAAACTCACTAATCCTCCCACCTCAGCCTCCCAAAATGCTGGAATTATAAGAATGAGCCACAATGCCTAGCCCATATTTTAACATTTTAAAATTTGGTAAAACTTGTTTTGTGTCCTAGTAGGTTATCTACTCAGGAGAATGTTTCATGACCTATTGGAAAAAGTGTGTATTCTGATATTGTTGTGTGAAGTGTTTTTTTTTTTCTTTTTTTTCACTTCTATTTGTAGCCTACACAGACCTATTGGACTGAACAAAGCAGGGTGAATGCAGGAATAAAAGACAAGAGACAAAGGGGTATATTTGGAAAAAGGGGTCAGGGGCACCTTGCCTCTAGTGGACAAGGTACCTGAGCTTTACACAGCCCTCCATATTTATTAGGTAAAAGAGATAGTGAGAAGGCGGGGGTGGTTTTCCACCAGCAGCTTGATTCACAGCTGACTCGAGAGACTGCATTCTTAGAACAATAGGCACTGGATTTCTCAGTAGATAACTTCAAGGAGCCTGGTGCCAGGGAATGAGGCCCTCAGCAAACCTTTTGGTGGCAGGGCAGTGTGAGTTTGCCCACATCCTGCATTCATGATAAACAGTTTGCTGTTTGATCATATAGCCTCCAGTGGAATGCTGAGTTGGTCATGTCCCATGGGCCTTCAGCTTCCTGAATCTATTCACTGTGATGAGTGTTTTCTATATGTCTGTTCGGTTTACAGAGTTTGCTACTGATAGTCGGATAATTATGTCTCTTACTATTTTTGCATAGCTATTTCTTTCTTCATCTGGGTCGATCTTAGCTTTATACATTTGGAAACCCCGATGTGAAGTGTACATATATTTATTATTAACACAGCTTCCCCAGTGAATCAACACTTGTATCATTATATACTATCTTTATTTGTCCTTTAATTCAGTTTTGACTTAATGTGTATTTTGCATAATTATGACCCCTCTTGCTCTCATTTGATTGCAATCTTCCTAGAAGATATTTTTCATACTTGCACTTTTAGCCTATCTGTGTGCTTAGATCTAAAGTGAGTTTCTTATAGACAGCAGAAAACAAATCGTTTTTTCTTTCAATCTCTTTAGCCAATTTACACATTTCTGTTGGAAATTTTACTCTATGTATATATTCATTTTAATTGTGAAAAGAATGGACTACTTCCATTTTGTTAATAGTTCTATTTGTTTCTTGTAGGTATTTTCTCCTCTTTTCTGCTCTTACTGCCTTCCTTTTTATTTAATTGATTTTTATAGTGACATATTTCTATTTAATTTGCCAAGGCCAAGTTGCAAGATAAAAAGTTTGCCTTTAATCTAGTCTCTCCACATCAGATCAAGCCTATGGACAGATCTAAAAACATGAGGTTTCCCTCTTCTGGGGCCCCACTTTTTGGACTGCTGTATGATCTCTGGAGGTTTGATGAGTCCACACCAAGCAAAAGTGGACAGCAGTGTTCTACCTGTGAACACTTGTTTCTTGTAGGCCCTACTGTCTCTCAGGGCACCACCTCTCTTATCCTTTAAACAGGAGTGATATTGGCAGAGAAGGGGCATTCACTCCTATCTGGCAGAAAAGGAGGATTCAGGCCCTTTAACCTCCCTAAGGTCAGAAAAGTCAGAGCCCTCAGAGATGCACTTGCAATGTGGCAGCCACTGGGCACAGGGGCTACTGAACAACTGTATTGTGCCCAGCATGAACTAAGATATGCTGGGGAGAAATACAAGAAAATATTTAAATATTTAGTTACATATACATATGTGCATAAAAATATATAATGCTGGGTTAAAGAAACATATGTCTATGTGTGTGTACGTATATATGTACACATATATATGTTTCTTTAATTATTTCATTCTGATTATATGTTAAAATATTTCAGATATATTGAGCTATGTTGTTAACATCAATTTCACTCATTTTTCTTTTTCTTTATGCTGCTACTAGCAAATTCTAATTGTCACATGTGGCTCACATTTTACTTCTATTGCACATTGGTGCAATAGAGGATTGCCTAATTTCAAAGCTCAGTTTGCCTCAAAAGCCAAGAGGCCAGAAAGATTGTAAAATCTAAAAATTAAAAATAATTGTAATTGGTTGGGCATGGTGGCTCATGCCTGTTATGCTAGCACTTTGGGAGGCCGAGGCAGGCGGATCACTTGACCTCGGTTCGAAACCAGCCTGGTCAACATGGTGAAACCATGTCTCTACTAAAAATACAAAAATTAGCTGGGCAACATGGTGGGTGCCTGTATCCCAGCTACCTGGGAGGGTGAGGCAGAAGAATCACTTGAACCTGGCAGGCGGAGGTTGCAGTGAGCCAATATCTCATCACTGTACTCGAGCCTGGGTGACAGAGTGAGACTCTGTCTCAAAAAAATGTAAATAAAAATAAAAATAATTGTTATTATTTTGTTTCTATTTTGAATAATACACACACACACCCCTCCCCCTTCACACACACACAAATAAGGCAGAGAAAGAAAGAGAGAATCTTGTTCTGTCACCCAGGCTGCAGTGCAGTGGCCTGATCTCAGCTCACTGCAGCCTCTACCTCCCAGGCTTAAGTGACCCTCCCACCTCTGCCTCCCAAGTAGCTGGGACCACAGACACGTGTGACCATGCCTGGCTAATTTTTTCATTTTTTTGTAGAAAAGTTTTGATGTGGGGCCCTCACATTCTGTTGCCCAGGCTGGTCCCAAACGCCTGGATTCAAGAGCTTCTGTCCCCTCAGCCTACCAAAGTGCTGGTATTAAAGGTGAGATCCACTATGCCTGGCCACATATATACAACTTATAAATAAAAATAACCTTATATACAAGGTTAAATGCAAATATCCCACAGTGAAGGCCGGGCTTCAGCATAAGGAGGAAGTCCTGCCTGAAAAAGGCTGCGGCTTGGAACATTTTACCCTGTTGTCATCTGGCTACGAGTTGGCTCACATCTTCTCTCATTCAGAACCTGAAGGGGTGGGGCCTGGGGCCGTATTATCCAATCACTAGTGCTGGGGTAAAAACTGTCTTAAAACTATTCTTTTAATGCTTAGCAATACTAATTTTTAGTGAGAAACTTAAGATTACTTAATTTAACATAACCAGACTTTAAGATTTTAAATTACTAAAAAAAAAAAAAAGAAACTTAAAATGATGACAGAGTTACTTCCTCTAATGTTTTTTGGTGAGGGTTTCAAATACCTATGTCATATATTGAAACCTACAGTTCTATAAGCCCTACCCTTAAATCAAAACAACCCTGATGCTATTGTGAACAGGTACTTAGCACAAATCCTACCCTTAGGCAAATTTATATAGTGATTTCAATTGTCCTTCACATTCCCTTTCCTGTGATAAGTGTCTGGGTTTAGGGGGTCACAGTGTGAGGTTCCACCATCTTCAGCTATCTGAGACATAGCTTCTATTAATAAATGTTCCTCTTAAATGTTTCTTTCTGAGAAACTTGATTTGTCAGCCTCATTCTTCAAACTCTCAGCTCCTTTGGCCTTTAAAGGTAGGTTTATATATATATATATACTCACAAGAAAACACCCTCATATATATAGTCTGTCAATTTCTCAAACATTGTTATGTGGTTCATGACTGTAATGTGTGCCACATGTAGTTTTGTACATGAATAGTATATTTTTTATAGCTACTTTCTATTACACATCACTAAAATACATGTTCAGTAAGTGCTCACTTAACATCATTGATAGGTCCCTGGAAACTGACTTTAAGTGAAACAAAATACTATATGCCATGGAAAATTAACTCTTGTTTATATCAATTAGCCAATGGTAAAATTGGTTTTATTATATAGTACATTGTTTTACTTAAAGTCACAGTTTCTGAGAATCTATCAAAAAAGGGAGAACATACTGTCATTAGTATTACAGTATATGGTACATTATAGCATTACACTATTATAGTATGTTATTGTAGTCTTAGCAATTGGTAGTATAATGTGTTTCAGTTTCTCCCAAGGTCACAGAATTATCCAGACCAACCAATAACAACTTCCTGTGGGAACCAGGTGCATCTCACCCTCTTGATACTACAAAGCCTTCCCCAACACCCCCTGTTTGTTCTCTCTGCTCCCAAGTGCAATCCCTGTGTGGGTCTGTATACCTTATATAATTTCCTTCTTCCATGATTATATGTAACGAATAACTGCTGTCAATCTCATTTGTCCAATGATTGGTGCCATGGTTTTAACTGTTCCAGTAGTACAAGGGTGGTAATTTATCCCTCACCAATGGGGTAAAGGGGAGGCTAATCAAACAATTCACAATACAAACTGGATTAACCAACTATGACTAAGGACATCGGCTCAACTTTAACTGCTTTTGGCCTACTGATTTCATGATACATTAAAAGTCACCTCAGTCAGAGCCACCAGTTTCTGGTGGGCTTTTGCTTTGGTCTAAATAGCCATTTGTGGCCTTTATCATGAGTTGCCTTCCCTGACCACATTAAAGCACACTCATCACCTAGACATATATGGTCAGTTGACTCTGCTGCAGCCTGATGTGTCATCATATTTAGCCTTTGTTTGGCATGCAGCTTGCAAGACACTTGCCTTTCAAGGCAGTGAAAACACAGAACCTTAATCAGTGAGTACTTCAGTCCTGATTACCAAGAGTCAGGCTATATCCCTGTGGTCACTTCATCTGGTCTGCTTACCATTACTAAATGCCCGGGTAGTCATATGAACATTGCTTATTATTGCACACTCTCAGGAAAGGCCCAGGGACGGTTTTTTGTAAAATTGCAAAAAACAAAAAGGACTTTTACTTTGGAGAGAATTATGCACGTCACTCAGTTGCTCTAACAAGTGCTACCGTCATGGGAGCAAGAACAGTGACCTTGTCTTTCCTGAGCTGCCGCTTCCTTTGCTCCTGTCACATGCACTCTCACGATGAGGGGCTCATTCCTTGTGCCTTATGGTTCAGGCACTGATGAGAAATAAAAAAGAGAAAGATAACTTAATATTAGTCCCTCCCAAAACTTACTGGGTAATTCTCTCATCCTAAATCCCCTACTCATCGTGTAGGCTTTTAGCACTGCTGCTTACCAGTATGCTAAAGGTGCAGACTTAGGATCAGAAGTTTGATGAACTCAAACAAAAAGACCACAATGCATATGGGTGCTAATCCCAGTGAAATGGAGTGGCAGTAAACACCTTCAACCAAAGAGAAAACAGATCACAAATAAACAAATAATGACACAACTCAAGAAACTAGAGGAGGAAGAACTTATCCCAACGTTCCCAGATAATAAAATTAGTAAAAAAAATCGGAGCAGAAATGAATACACTGAAGATTAGAAAAACAATAGAAAATGTAGAAAAATTGTAAGAGCTTGTTTTATGAAAACATGAAGTTGGCATATCTTTAGCTAGACTAAGAAATAAATGCTTAAATAAATAAAATCAGAATTAAAGGGAATACATTACAACTGGTAAAACAGAAATAAAAAAAGGTCATAAGACTGCTATGTACACAGACTCCTATGTACAATGATATCCCACCAAATGGGATAAGGGAGAAGACATGAATACATTTCTAGACAAGTACCACCCACCAAGACTGAAGCATAAAGAAATAGAAAATATGAATAGATCAGTAATGGGTAAGGAGTTTAGATCTGATGACTTTGTTGCTGAATTTTACTAAACATTTAAAAAGAACCAAATCTTTGAAAAAATTGAAGGAGGAGGAATACTTCCAAACTCATTTTATGAAGCCAGCATTACACTGATACAAAAACCAGAGATGGACATTACAAGAAAAACAATTACAGGCCAATATCCCTGATGAACATAGATGAAAAATCATCCGCAACGTAGTTGCAAATGAAATTCAAAAGCACTTTAAAAGGATCATTTATTATGATCAAGTTGGATTTATTCCTGGGATGCAATAATATTTTAATATGTGGAAATCAATAAATGCCATACTCCTTATTTACACAACAAAAAGATTAAAAATCATGACTTTTTTATGCATGCCTAAAATTATTTTGACAAAATTTAAAATCCATTCCAAATAAAATCTATAACAAATTAGGTATAGAAAGAATATACCTCAAAATAAAGAGATATGTTCTTTATAAGCTATAGGACAATCCCATGGTTAACATTATTGTCAATGGTGAAATTTTGGAATTGTTTTTAAGATTTATTATAAGAAAAAGATGCCCACTCTCACTACTTCTTTCAACACCGTATTGGAAATCCTGCTCAGAATCTAAGACAAGAGAAAAAAGAGCATTTAAATAAGAAACAACAAGTTCTTCTATTCATGGAGATTAACGCTCAGGTTTTTGCAGATTAGATTTAACAGCATGAAATCTGTACCATCCAGGAATCAAAGGATATAGGACTTTAGGGCATCAATTATTAAGAGGCTATAGGAAAGCAGAAATGCTCCTGGATGTTTCCATTGTCCACACACAAAATTTCAACAGACCAGCCCCAGGAAGTAAAGGCACATTCCTGACTACTGTTAGTTGATGAGCTTTTCACCAAAAGCAGAGATGTGAGACCTGGCAGGTTTCAAAGACCCCTCAAGTGCTCCATACCTTGAAATTCACTTCCACAAAGCTAGAACACCATCTGTTCCTGAGGGATCAGGTTATCGTCTGTTTCTTTTAGGCACTGGCCAGTCAGGCTTTAGTGGACACGAAGCCACAGATTTTTAGTGTAAAATGCCTAATCTATCATAATCTTTAGGTAGATATTTGGAGGCCTGCACACTTAAATGGGTTGGTGAAATGTCATACCAGACACATGGCTGGGAATTGGGTTTTTCTCCTCCGCTCTTAGCAGCACCTTTGTAACCCAGTGATTACCCCCCTCATGGCTCCACGGCCACATCCGCAAAAAGGGTACTGGTGAACGTGACATTTTCACGAAGCCACAGCCCATGGTCACTCCCTGCAAAGCTCTGAACTTGCGCATTCCCAGGCCAGGCCGTGGTTGTCTTTCCAAGGCGGCTCAGCTTGTGCTTTGCTTGGAGAGAGCGGAGGGCAGCAGCACAGTGACAGCGTCTGGGACCTCAGACCAGTTTCCACAGCCACTTATGAAAGCAGACGGCTCCATGGGCTGGAGGAGGTGGGACGCTCTGGAAAGAACTCGGGTGCGAGTGGGAAAGAAAATCGAGCTGAGCAGCTGGAAGTCGAAGTCGCGTGAGTGAGGACCAGACACTCTCGATTTAGGCAAAGGCGGGGTGCACTTCCCAACAACACATCCTCCTCACTGGCGAGACCAGGCCTGCCCTTCAAGTTCCTCTCCTGATTTAATCCCCTTGGCGAGGGTTTGGCATGAAATCAATGGCCAGCAAGCTTGGTAAACGAAGCCGCCTACACCGCCCTCCCCCTCCCTGCACGGCCGCGCCCCGCCTCCGCTCCTGTCTCAATCTGGGATTGTCCTCCTGTAGCCCCACCATCCACCGTGGGGAACGGTGGAGAGACTACAACTCCCAGTATGCACCGCGATGCGCGCCTCACCCTGCATCTCCCAGCCCGCAGCCAGCTGGCATCCTAGACCCTCTGCCCTGCGACCAACAGCCGGGAGCGGACCAGACACCAGAACTCCCGGAACGGTTGAAGACGGTTCCGCTCCCTGTCCCGCCTTTCGCAGCCCAGCAGTTTCGCCCTGCGGAGAGGAGCCTTGCTGTTTCCAAATCTCTCCTGCTGAAGAGACATTGGAGCTAGGGCGGCTAGTTTCACCTGGTAATTGTGACACCCTGTCTCCTCGAGCTGCAGGCTTTTATGCTTGTCATGTTCGAAGTTTGATACCTTGCAGATCAACAAAGGGCCGGTGGCCTCTCACTGCCTCCGCGGCAGGGTTGTCAAGGTAACGCTCCTCAGACAAGGGTGGGGCGCGACCCGCCCCTTTTCTCACCCCGCCTCCTCCTCAGCCCCACCCTCCTTCGCTCCTCCTCTTGTCACTCCCTTTCAGACATGCGCAGTGCGGCCCGTCCCTAGGGCTGGGTTAAGGGCCGCGGATGTGGCAGTTCTCAGGCCTCCTGGGATCGCCTCAAGAAGCCCCCTCACGAGTGTCTCGATTTCCTGTCAGCCAACAAAGGGCCGTTCGCCTTTCATGGCCTCCACAGCAGCGTTGCCGTGGTAACGATCCTCCGCCGGACGTTGGCCGCACCGCGCCGCTATTCTTGCCCATCTCCCGCTCCGCCCCGTCCCTTCTCGCTCCTCCCTCTTGTCACACCCGTTCAGACATGGGTAGTGTAGCCCGTCCCTAGCGGCGGGATAAAAGTCCTGCCCTTTCACACATGCGCAGTGCACCCATTCCTAGGGGTGGGGCTAAGGGGCCTGCCCTTTCGGAAATGCGCAGTGCAGCCCGTCCCTAGGTGTAGGGTAATGGCGGCCGACCTGGAGGCTCCTTGGGATCCCCTCGAGAAGCCCGTTCATGAGTGTCTGAAACTGTCACTTGACTGCCAGAAGTGAAAACATCGTGTCCCTAGTCACCTGCCATTTGCCTTTTCAAAACCATTTCCTCTGTTCTCTAGGCTGTCACAAATCCTCTGCACCCCAGGAGCGCCGCTTGGACCCCCGGGCTCGCTGCGTGGTCCATATCTAGGTCGGGCCTCTCACGGAGACTTTCCCACCAGTGTAATAAAGAGGAGAAAACGTCACAGCGGAAGGGCCTGACCCTGCTGCATCCACTAAGGAAACAGCTACGGGGATGGGACCCTGGGAGCTGCTGTGGAGCCTCATCCACCGCTTCTCTGACCCCACCCAGGCTGCTTCCCAGGCCTCAGGGTCTTAGTGTGGACCTCCGGGCCGTGATTAATGCAGGTCAGCAGGACCAGAGCGCCCCTTGGTCCCTCCCAACACATGAGGGTAGTTTGTGTGGTGAGGTCAGGGATAGTGTCTGCGCTTCTACCCTGAATAGGGCTCCCTTGGAAAATACTTTAATATCTCTTTTTAAATACCCCCTTGGACCACTTTTAATAGTTTTCTGATAGAACTAAACAGTGATCATTCTCTTAATTCATGTTTCCATTAAGTTTTTCAGGTTAAGTACTGCACGACTACTCGCTTCTGAAACTGATAGACACTGCCTCAGCTCCGTGCAGGGCAGACGCACAAGAGCAGAATCTCCGTGGGACATCTCTCTGGAGCATCAATATTACTGCAGTATTTGGAAGAAACAAATTTAAATAAGTTCTAAGGTGAAGAATGGAACATTTAAGACAAGTCTGGAAAGTCATCTGCCTTTAATAACTGTCGTTTGTCCTTAACGTCAGACTTTCTCCAAGACCAAAACTCTAAGAACTTATTTCCATTCTTACAAATAGTAAAAATGATAAATCATATCAAGTCAATTGAAAGTCCTGCCTGCTGCTTTCCTAAATTGCAATATGGCCTTGGTATGGTTTTATTTGTACTTTTGTGGGGGATTCGTGGATCTTTAGATTAAAAAAAAAAAAATAGGTTTTTGAACAATTTTTGCAAGTTTGCAGCTGTTAGTTATTGATTTATTTTTCCAACCCATCTAATTCTTCTGTCTCTCTCCTCTCCTCAGGCTCAATAATTCCATGGGTCTCTAAGGCTGTGTTTATTTTCTTTAAATTTTGTTGATTTACTTTTATACTCCATTTGATTTTTTCTATCTCTCACCTTTTCTCAGACTCAGTCATCCCACAGGTCTGTAAGGCTCTGTTCATTTTCTTTAAACTTCTTTTTTTTTTCCTCTCCTCAGATTGGATAAATTATATTGCTATGTCTCTGTTTCTGAACTATAGAAAAGCTCAAAATTATTATTTTTATTTCTCATTTTTTATATGGCTATTTTTTCTCTGCTGATGTTTCACATCTATTCATTTATGAGAATATTTTCCTTTGCCCTCATGAGCGTGTTTATAATAGCTGCCTTCAAATTCTTGTCTGCCGTTTACATCTTGGACATCTTGGAGATGGCTACTGCCTGCTTTTTATCTTGTGTATTTATTACATTTTCACGTGTCTTCACGCATCCCTTGAATTGGAAATTGTGCCCTGGAGACTGTATACAAGACTGGATTAAAAAGACTGGATTCTGTTTTGTCCCTGTGAAGAGTGTTGTTTTTAAAAGATGGTGTTAAATGGGCTGGATTCTATCTTCAATACTTATCTCTCCTATGGAAGTCATAGCCAAAATATGCATTCAGTTTTTATATACACATATTTCATGTATGTATTGTATATAGAA
Source organism: Homo sapiens (assembly GCF_000001405.40). Classification (NCBI taxonomy): domain Eukaryota; kingdom Metazoa; phylum Chordata; class Mammalia; order Primates; family Hominidae; genus Homo; species Homo sapiens. The sequence continues at coordinate 19,981 of NT_187383.1, forward strand.
ATGTTTCTATAATGATATATAATAATTTACCCAGGATTCATCATTTTTCTGTGTGAGAGTGTTAGTTCAGTTAGCTACTTCATCATTAGTGGAAGCCAGAACCTCAGTTTTGATTTTTGAGTGTAATATAAAAAATTACACAGTATGGATACTTTTACATCAATTTTTTAATGCAATATTATATTTGTGATATTTATGCTGTTACAGATATCTACAGTTTGTTCATTTAAAAAAGTCCTTTTTTACATTGTGGTAAAATATACATAAAATTAACCATTTTAACAATTTTTAAAAGTGCAGGACAGAGGAATTAATCATACTCACATTGTTCTACAACCATCATCCACATTCATAGGGAAATTTGTTCATTTTGCAAAACTCAAACTCTGTTCCCGTTACCTTCCTTTTGGCCTCTAGGAACTACTCTTCTACTTTGAGTTTCTATGAATGGAACTACTGTAAGTACCTCATATGAGTGGAATCATACAATGTAGTAAAGAAGTCACGAGGAAGAATAATACACACTGTATAACATGCTTATTAATTTAAATAAACAGAGATCAGTAGTACATGGTGATTATAGAGAAAGACAGATAAAAAAGAAAAAGCAGTTAGAAGGGTGTGTAAAATTTATCACTATGGTGTCTCAAGTTTTAGAGCAGTGAGGCCCCGGCCCCAGACACATTACTGGTCATGGTGAAGCTGGGAGCCCAGTGCAGCTGTCTGACTCCCAAAGCCAACACTCAGGCCAAATGTCACTGAGCCCTGAGGCACTCTGCCCCTGCCAGCCCAGGCACTCAATGGCCCTGAGATTCACCATGGCCTGTTCTTGGTCTTGAGGGTGTTGCTGGCCTGCTGGAATAGGGGCCCGTCTGACAAAACAAGTAGGAGGAGCTTCAGAAAATAGTGGCAGCTGTGAGGCTACCAGGAGCCACACCTCAGGCTTCCCACTGCCTGCCCAGGGTCCCCATGCAGCAGGCCTAATGTTGACCAGGGAGCTATGGCCCCAGGTTCTCTGAAGCTGGCCACAAGATAGAGTCTTCTCCTAGTCTTTGCTAATCTGCTAGGCCCTCATCTTTTATTCTGACTGTGCAGCTTCATGCACTGGAACCAAACCCCAAATTCCTCCTCAGTCAGAAGATGACGATTATCTCTTGTCACTGAAGCAGCTGCATTTCCTGGAGGACTTTGATCTGGAGACAGAAGGAAGGGCAGGATTCTGACAGGTCCTGGGTGGAAGATGACAAAGGGAACTTGTGGGGGTGTGAAGGGGTAGGGACAATTTCTAGGGCCTTTCTTTTAAGGGGTCCTACCCTCCCCTCCAATCCCATGTAGCCCCAACCTGTTCTCAAGAGTTGGATATAAACAGTCCCTCCTCTAGGAGTTTATCATTGATTCTATTCCCCTAATCAAACCCTCCATTGGGATGGGGCTCCTGCTTCTCTGTGTATCAAACCTTCCCAATAAATCTAAGATGCAGAGGATGGAGCCAAGGAGTGTCTTCCTCAGGGTGGTGTCTGACTTTCACATCCCCACCCTCCCTCAAAGCGACAGCGCCAGCTGCTCACCTTCTTCCTTTATTAGTGTTGATTATATGTTCTTAGGAGGTAGACAGCCAAGATTCATGAGAAAGGCTTCCTGACACAGGACTAGACCTCATCCCTTATACTTCCTATGCTGCACCACCACCAGGGCCACCAGGGTCAGAGCATGTGCATAAAACAGGACTTAGACCTGCATCAGGTTCTGGGCTCCACAGAAGGGACACTGAGGCTCAGTGACCTTTCTCCCTGATTCTCTGTGATGATAGGGAGACAAAGGCCTTGGAAACAAAGAAGTTACTCAACAATTTAGGACCTGCCTGTCTTAGGAGGGGCCCAATTTCTCTCTTCTGCAATGGGTACCAGCTAAGGCAGAGGCTGAGACTTAGCTCTGCAGCTTTACTACTCAAGGAACAGGAAATGGTGTCTTTGCTGGAGGCTCCGTCACTCATAGATAAGACGGAACTGACACTGCCATTTACAGGGGCATCTGGTAGGCTCTCAGGAAAGGGGTTTGCTGAGTGCTGCAGTCTCAGGATTCAGTCCAGGACTCTGTCCTCGCAAGCTTCAGGATCCTGGTCCCCACCCTGCCTGCCTGCCCCAGTCTCACTCACATCTCTATAATCCTCTATGGCAATTTCCAGCATCTGCAGGTTGTTGAGAAGTGTGCCCGGGGTGGGGGGTGGGGGGGAGGGGAGTGGGGGCACAGCAGCCTGTGTTATCAAGGTGGTAGCAGTGATGAGCACCAATTCTCAGCTAACTGCACAAGACCTCTCCTTTGAACTCTCACCAACCTATTTCTCCTTGACCCCCGTACCCAAGTCTCTCACTCAGAGCATCCAAGGACCTTTCACCTCCTTGCCCAAAATCTTTCCCTCCTCTTTCCACAGCTGACCTCCAAAGACGCTAAGCACTTCTTAGTTACCTCTATGGTGTGATTTTAATAAATCACAAAGTCAGATCGTCCCCACCCTCACTCTTCGTCTAATCTACTCTGAGCCTAGCTCTCCCAGGCCCTTTCTCTAGTCTCTCTAATGAAGGCATTCCAAGCATTGTGGCCACAGGAGGGCAGGGCTGGAGGAGGAAGACACCCAGGTCTCTTGATGTGGAGAACTCCAGCTGGGAGGGAGGAGCCCTGTCCTTGACTCTCTGGAGCCCCTCCCTACCATAGGCCAATTCACCTGCTGCTGCAGCCCCATCTGGACTCTTTAAAAAGGTTCCTACCTAGTAGAGTCAGAAACAGGGTCAGTGAGACTGTGCCTGTCTCACAGTTACACTCCAGCCCCAGCGACCTCAGATCTTGGATAACTGCCTGAGTCAGCCGGTGTAATGCTCCCACCAGCTCCAGTGAGTCCTGATTCTAGATTTACTCCCAGCTTTAACACTCACTGTGTGTGTAACCTTGGGCATGCAGCCAGGCCTTCCTGAAACTGTTTTTTCATCTAGGAAGTGTGATGAGAACAACACCTTCCTCACAGTACCTCCTGAGGACTCAGTTGCATGTGGCTATCACCATTGTTCTCACCATCATCCCTCTCAGGAAGAGGTGGGCACAAGAATTCTGAAGTTTCCTTCATCCTTTGCCCCTTATCATGACCCTGTGAGGCCTGCACAACAGGCTTTCTGCATTTTCCAGTTGAGGAGACAGGCCCAAAGAGGGTGTTGACTTGCCCAGGAGCCCACAGGAGAGGCTGTCTTCTCCTCCCACCTGAAGAGTCTGCCCTACCTGGCTTCACACCACACACCAGCACCATCACTGACCAGGGTCCCATCCTCTGGACTCTGGGATAGATGTTCACATCCCAATCCAGGCCCAGCTGTGGTGGAAAGAAACCTGGTATCTTGGGAGGCCTGGTTGAGCAGTGCCAGCTTGTCCCAGCTTCACTGGAATTGCTATCCCACAAATTGGGTTTGAGGCTATGAAGAAGACTTCACCTCTTCGATGATCCACCGAGAGAGATTCCCACACAGAGCTCTCTCTTTATCCACTCCCTGCAGTTGGCCTGCCAGTGAAATCACACCTGTGCAGTAGTCAGGCCTCCTGGCCCACCCGCCAGCTGCCAGCCTCCAGTGTCTCTGATACCCATGGGTAATCATGCCTTCCTTGGCAAGGCTGCTGAGATTCAGAAGGACCTAAACAGATCTTTGGCTCAGATGGGTTGCTTCAGCCTTGTGTCCTTGGCCATCTTCCCTTGCCTTCCGAAGGTCCCTGCCAGCCTCACTGTACCAAGCCCTGACCCTAGCGGTCTCTCCGTGGGGACCACATCTCACCCACCCTCCATTGCCAGGGCTCCTGCTCAGCTCTTCTCACTTTCCCAGGACAAGCCTGGCTTCACAGACACATCTAGATCCAGCGCTTTTCTCTTTGTGGTGTTCAAAGAAAGAGTATTATTTTTTTCTCTAAATTGACCTATAACCTACTTATTTTGAAGATGTCCAGGCTGCAGGAGATCTCTACCCATCTACCCAGAAGGCATCAGCCCTTGCTTCAGTACCTTCTCATTCCACTCTGTCACTAAATGTTTATGACCTCAAGAAAATTTGAAGAAGCATAAGCAAGTGCAATTCCATTGGTACCAGGGCTGTAAGGGCGGGGCCAGATGGGTGAACCTCACTGGGGATAAATAGAAATTGTGTACAAGATGGACATTTCAAGGTTGGTTTCAAGAAACGCAGGGAAAACTAACTTTCATAGGTGACAGTATGCACAAGTTAAGCTTCCTAACAGCCACAAGTTCACAGGTTCTTCTATCTAAATGTGGCAATGTGTGACGATGTCTGAATGGCCATAATACACATACATAGAGTAATTTATAGCATTCATTTTTGTATTAGAAATTGTGCATTTCAGCCACAAGTTTTTTGTACATGATGGATAGTCCCACATTGCTTGAAGATTGGAAGAGAGAGCACTTTATGAAATGTCCTTTTGGACACATTTTCATTGACGTTTCTATGTCCCAAGAGGCAATGAGACAAGTCATGATAAACTGGCCGTGTCTTCTGGGGTTACACCTGAACTTCTTGGTGTCAGGACCGAGGAAACCAAGGACACAGATATGCCAAAGGTGAGGTTAGAGCAAAAGTTTAATGGGTGAGAAAAAGAGAACAGCTCTCTGCTGCAGAGAGGGATCCAGAAAAAAAGAGTTGCCATTCTGCAGTGAAATACAAGTGTTTTTATAGATGAGCTAGTGGGAGGGGGTATGTTATCCACATAGGGCATGAAAAAGTGGTTAGGACCAGGTGTGTCATCTGCTTAGAGCATGAATCTCTGGCAGCTCACACCCCAACCTTTTATTATGCAGGCAGATTCTCAGCCTGAGCTACTCCAAGTTGCTTATCTCTTTTCTACTGTGCATATGCTACAAAGAGGGGTGGGGCCCCCCATGTTGGATATGTCTGGCCCAAGGTGGTCATTTCTACCCATGCAGCTGCAGGCATCCCTGCCCACACAAGCTTCCAGCTTCCTTTTGTATGATTGCAGCCCAATTTTCCAGGCTGCTCTTTGTTAAAGAGAAGTGAATTCCTGGGTTGCTTTCTGTTAGAAGGGACGTTCTGTTGAGAACTCTTTGCTCTATCTGCCTAGCTAGTTTCTTTCTACATCTGCTCTCAATGACAATTATTCAGTTTTAATGGGGTCCTGGGGGTGGGAACAGATAAATTTGAGACCACAAAGTACCTTAGAATAAGAATTCACCCTTTAGTCAGCTTTAGTGTGAGTTGCACATCTATTATAATATTGGCTTCATGCACTACTGAATATAACAAGAAGGGAAAATGTGTATCTTTTAAAAATCTAGATGACAAATGGACTTTCCACAGATTCTTTGTGTGTTCCTGATTTAGAACTTGTTCATTCCACTGTAGTTTGTTTTCATTGAAATCACCAACTGATGAGGAAGCCTAGGCTGGCAAGCAGGACACGGTGGATTATTTGCAGGAAAGGTGTTTTTGTGGGGACCCTAAAGGGTCAGGCACTGCAGCCCACAGGAAAGCCTCAGCCATGATTCTCTGTGGCGTTGCCCTGGTGGGGTAAGGCAGCCATGCAAAGCTCTGATTCCCTGTCCTGAAGGGTGACATTGGCCGGGCAAGCCCCAGCCTTCAGGAAAAAAGGACAGACAAGGGAGTGCTTCACGTTCCGGCCTTGTTCCGGCCTTGTCATGAGCTCCACCGGCAGCCTGCAGTGGGGCACAGCTTCTAGGTGCCTGGTCAGCTCTGGTCCTTCAGGAGGTGAAAATGACTTTTCTCCTGGATTCTCTGCCCTGTTGGCTGGGCCTGGGAAGGACTCAAGGTCTGCATGGCAGTTTCTGAGTCTCCAGCACCCAGCTGTCTCATTGTGATGATGACAGGGAGAATGGCCAGAAGTACCGGGGTGGGGAAAACGAAGAGCCAGCAGGAGAAGGCGAGCTTCCAGAAAGCCCCACCACAAATGCTTAGTGCCTGGGTAGGCACAGGGATTGCTGGGTTTTGCCTGGGAGCAAGTCCATAGGCCCTGCTGGAGATTGCCAAGATAACCACCCCCTGCCAGAGGTCACCAGGGATTGCCTGAAAACCTTCGGAAATGGTGCATGCCCCTATTGCTCAAAAACTGGAAGAAGCTGCAGCCTCAGCAGGTTATCCAGGCCACTGAGTGGGGCAGCGGGCCTACACTGAGTGCACTCCTACATTGGCAGTAGGCAGCTCTCCTGACCCATCCACCAGCTGTCTGCCTCCAGTGAGCAAGATCTTCAAGGCTGATCAGACCTCCAGTTGGCAGGGCTGATGAGATTCAGTGCGACCTGGTCAGATCTTTGGCCCAGATGAGTCACTTGAGTTTCAGTGTCCTGGACCAACTTTCCTGGACTTCAGAGGGCCCCTGCCAGCCTGAGTGAGCCAGGCTTGGCTGCATCTTCCTGGGAGCCCCATCTCACCTGCCCTCCATCCCCAGGGCTCCTGCTCAGCACTTCTTACTTTCCCAGGACAAGCCTGGCTCCAACAGACATCTCTAGATGCTGTGTTTCTCTTTGTGGTGAGCAAAGAAACAGAATGAGTTCCATTTTTTAATTTTTTTCTAATTTTACCTATAACTTATTTATTGTAAAAAGGTTTGGGCTGCAGGAGACCTGACCCACCCACGCAGGAGGCCTCAGTAGCCTCCCAATCCACCCTGTTACTAAATATTTCCACTCCTAACAATATAGGGGGAAGCAGGAGCAAGTGCAGTTTCACTGCACCAGTGCTGTGAGGATGGGGCCAGAAGGGTCCTGCCCAGTAGGATTCAATAGGAATTATATAGAAATAAACATCTCAATGTTTGTTTGGACGGATTGACATGGAGAAATTTAATTTTGATAGGTTCTAGTACACAGAAGTTAAGCTTCCTAACAGCCATGAGTTTACAGCTTCCTCTTTCTGAATTTGGCAGTGTTTTTTGATGTCCAAATTGCCACGATGTCCACACATATTTACAATAGTTTATATTATTCATTTTGTATTACTAATTGTGCACTTTGGCCAACAGTGTTTCATACATCATGGTTGGTTTCCAACCTTGCTTGAAAATTGGAAGTGACAGCCCTTTATGGAATGTTGCTTTTGACACTCTTCCATTTAAGGCTCTGTGTCCCCACAGTGCTACGAAGACAAATAGTCATCACTCTTCCATTTTGAGGGGGCCAGGGTAAGCAGGTGCAATTTGAGAATACAAAGTACCTTGGAAACAGAATCATCTTTCAATCAGTTTTAGTGTGAATTTCATTTACATTAGAATAGCCTGTTCATGCACTCACAAGATTTCAGGGAGGGACAATTGTCACCTTTGAAGAATCAAAGTGACCAACGGGCTTCCCTCAGTATTTTGTTTATTTGTTTCTGGAACTTAGTCATGCCATTGTAGATCGTTTCTTTTGGAATCACTGGGTGATGAGAAACCCCAGGCTGGAGAGCTGGACACCGTGGAGTCCCTGTGGGAGAACTGTTATTAGGGTGGCCTAACTTGGAAGGCACTACAGCCTGTGGGAAAGCAGCATCCAAGATTCTCTCTGGCGTGGCCGGGTGCTGGGTGAGGTAGCCAGCCCAACAGCTTATTCTGTTTCTGGAATGGTGACTCCCAGCCTGGGCATGGCTTCAGTTTCCAGGAAACAGGCATGGGCCAGGGAGCGCCTTACCTGTTTACTGCTGCGATGTGTGGGGCCTGTATCCGCCACTGGGCACTCCACCTCTTCAAGTGGGGTCCTGTGCATTCCTTTTGGAGGCTTCAAAAGACTTTCCTCTCTGACTCCCGGCGTCTTCACCTGGACACTGTAGGACCCCAGATCTGTGTGTTTCCCAAGTGTCTATAGCGCCAGGTGCCCCATTGTGACAGGGAAGATGACCAAATTAAGTGATTAGGGCCGTTTGAAAAAAAAGCAGGAGAGATGCTGTATGGAGGAGGCCTGACATGACTGCCTCTAGCCTGCGGCTGCTGGTGCCATGCGCAGGCCGGACTGGTCTCTGCCAGGGTGATGTGATCCGTTGTGCTGAAGATTCTCACCATTTCCTTCCTTTCCCCATCGGGGACACCTGGGTAACCAGCTGAAGCAGTAGTTCCCCATCCGGAACAAAGACTGCAGACCCTCGCATGGGCTCCAGCCTGCAGGACACAAGCGTGAGCCTTGGAGGACCCCACATACCTAGGTGGTTGTGGGCTAGACCTGTGGCCTTCGCTGGGTTCTTGACTCATTTCTGGAGTGCGAGGGTTTTGTTCTTTTTCAACTGGAGGTGGCAGATGACTGTCCTTCTGGACTTCCTATATGCTCACCTGACCCCTGCGGGACCTGAGATCATTGGGGTTCCCAGGTCTTTATGGCATCACGCCCCCATTGTGACAACAAGGAGGATGACCAAAAGTATGCCGGTGGTTGAGGAAGAGAAAAAAGAGGAGTGGAGTTGCAGGGAGGAGGCTCGAAAGGATCACCTCCAGCCTGGGGCAGCTGGATTGGCGAGTCAGGGGCTGGCTCCTGCCTGGGCAAGACAATAAGCCATGATGAACAATGCCATTATCCTCCTTTTCAGTTGGGGGTACCTGGGCATATCTGAAAACCTTGAAAAAGTGTTTGCATTTTCACAGCTTAAGAAAAGGAAGCAGCAGCAGCTACAGTGGGTTTTTCATGCCTTCCAGTGGCATTGAAGAACCTGCACTGAATGCCACCTGGAAAACAGCCTGGACCTGCACCTTTGGGCCGGGGCACCCGTGGGAGCTCAGCCCTTGCCGCCTCAACCCTTTTTGGATTCTTTTCTCCCCAGACTGTCCCAGAGTTCAGGTCTTCTCATCTCTTGTCTGCCCAGTGAAGGCACAAGGGTGGAAAGGTGAGGGTGTGGAGTCAGGAGCTTTGTTCCAGTGCTGGGCATAGTGAGAAGTCAAAAGAGAGGTTATGATCTCATTGTGCTTGAAGGGGAGAGGCCAAAGCCTAAGACATTCTGCCTTTTTAGGGGAATTACCTTTCAAGGCTTATTTGGTCTTCACTAGCCTTTACATCTGAGGATGAAGGAGTTGAGGCTCTGTTACATGGATGTCTAAAGAGATCATAACTCTCACATTGAACGACACAGAGACTGATAGCTCTAGCACAGTACCTAGGTAATGTGACTCTCTCTTGCTACGTGTGCCCTTCCTACATAAGGAAATGTGACATACCACTGGGCCAAGCACCCAGGAAATGTGACTCTCCCGCCTGTGGCCTGCCTGTATTGGGCAATGTTGTGACACATCTCAGAGCTGAGCACCTAGGTGATGTAACTCCTTTTTTGGGAGCTGTCAATGGAAGGGATTGTGACATATGTTTGGCCAATCACCTAGATGATGTGACTCTCTTGCCTATAACTCAAATTGGGGAGAAATTATATCTTGACAATATTGAGATTTTATGATCATGCACATTAAATGTCTTTCTATTTATTAAGATCTTTTGTGATCTTTCATGGCTCTTTCATTAGAAATTTGTAGTTTCCATTGTATATAGATCTGTGTGTCACAAAGGTCTATATGACAAAACTGAGACAAAGACAAACTGACGGATTCTTCCAGTTTTTGTGGATGGCTCTGGGCTGGGGCGTTCCTTTAACACATGTGCAGACTGTTGAAAACTTTGCTTCAGTCTTCACTTTCTGCTGAGCTGAGCCTGAAGGTCAGCCAGTGCTGAAAATGAGGGTCTTCTTGGGTCTTTAAGAAAATGTGTTTTTCGTGGTTATGCACAGAGTGCTTTGTCAATTTGCCAGCATACCTGGGTGCTTTTTAATAGCCTAATTTGTAAAACAAAACAAAATCTCACGTTAGCTTTTTATTCTTGGCTTTATGTGACCTATTGTATGTGTCGTCTGTAATCTGTTCTCCAGGGGGCTGCTGGCTTTCAGTTTCCTTAAAATACTCCCAAGTAACTCGTGCCAATTTTTTAAACTGATTTTTTTTTCTGACTTAGAGAAAAAAGAGAGCCTTGTTTCAGACCTCTGGATAGCCCTAATACAGATTTTAATGTAACAACACAATACTTTGCAAGTAAGACCTCCTCTTTTCCCTCTGGAACCACTGAGCAGAGGCCCATACTGGCAACTCAGGATGTTGTTTTTAAGACTGCCATCAAGTAAGGGAAGGATTTGGGCAAGGACGTGTAAAAAGTCCACGAGGCTTTTCTCCTGTTCTTCATTGTTTTTCTTGATTTTGTAGTTACATGGTTGCTGTACAACTTGATGGTTTTCAACAGGTTTTACAACATCGTTTCTGACAGTTCTGCTTGGTTTTCCCTGTTTCTGTGGAGGAGCAGGTGTTTGGAGCTGTACATTCTTGACATTTTGCTGATTTTACTCTCTCTGGGCTCTCAGTTGTATTTCATTGATCTAAATGACTTTCCTTGTGTCGTTACTACACCATCTTGATTAAGGTTGCTTTGAGGCAAATTTTGAAGTTGTAATTTGTGAGTCCTTTTATTTGGCATCTTTTTAAAGATTTTTAAAGATATTCTTAGTCCCTTTTAATTTTATATGAATTTCAGCATCAATGCTTCAGTTTTTACATGGTAGTCACCTTGAATTCTAATTGTACTGAATCTAATTGTACTGGATGTAGACTGTTTGGGGAGTTATTGTCATCATAATGTATTAAACCTACTGATTCATAAACATGGAATGGTTTCTCATTTATTTAGATCTTCAACCTCTTTCGATAAGGTTTGTAGTTTTCAGATTATAAGTTCCTTTCACATTTTTAAAAATTTATTTCTATGATTTATTATTTAATTGCTATTGTAAATGGATTTGTTTTTGCCTCAACTGCATTATTAGATATTTCATTGCAAGTGTATAGAAGTAGAATTGATTTTTGTATAATAATTTTGTACCTCTGACCTTGGTGAATACATGATCTTGGTTGCTTCCAAGTTTTGTGAAAACTACAATTAATATTGCTGTAAACTTTTTTGTGCAGGTTTTTGTGTGGACTTACATTTTCAATTCATTTGAGTAAGCTAACCTTTAGGAATTTGTTTGGAGTTCAGAAGACACCACCCTGCCACATAAGATCGAGTTAAGAAAAACTCATTTTGTGCAAATCAAGTTTATATGGGCCTATGATGAGGTTCATGGAAAAGCACTGTGTATAGTTGTGTGAATTTGAGCCCAGTGATTTATTATGTATTAATCTTGCCCTGTGTAGCAGATGTTCTAGGAGGTGCTGCAATGACTAAAACAAAACAAATAATTCTGCCCACTTGAAGCTGATATTCTAGGAAAAAATAAATATATAATACAAGTAAAATAAACAATGTGTAAGATAGTGGTTACTGCTAATGTGGGAGGAGAGTGTGGTAAAGAGAGCAGAGGTCTAAACTGGGTGTCTCTCTGAGCATTTATTTATGTGTTTCAGCTGCTAACTCTGACAGTTAACAAGCTTGCGTGTCTTTGTCTGCGTGTATCCACCTTTATGTGCAGTGAAAAGTCTGCTTTTGTATTTATGCCTGGGTGCTATGTGTGTATTTGCTTTAAAATCACTAATACTTTTATGTTCTTGCCTAATTTCCTAGCTAACAGCTTTTTTTTTACCATGTTGAATAGATGTCGTGAGAACAGACATCTTTGTCTTATTTCTGATCTTAGGTAGAAAGCATTTTGTCTTTTAACATCAAGTATGATGTTAGCTGTGGGGTTTTTATAGATGTCTTACAATATCTTTTCTATTTCCAGTTTATTTAATGTTTTTATCATGAGGAGTGTTGAAGATTTTCAAACCTTTTTACTTTGTATTTTCCCTATATTAATACCTTGCCAGATGTATTATTAGAGTATTGTTATGGAGTATGTTCTATTATTCAGAGTTGTCCTGTTACTCTATTGATAGTGTCCTCTGAGAGACACTATTTTATTTCATTTGTTTGTAGTCTCTATCCCAGTACCACACTGTTTTGAGTAACATGACTGTGAGTAACTTTTGACGTTAGGAAATTTCTCATTATGAAATTAGAGCTCTGAACATTTTTATCTCTTTTTTTTGCGATCGTTTTGACTATTCTTGGTTCCTTGAGATTCCACTTGAATTTTAGAATGTTAGTTTCTGTTTCCATTTAAAAAAAGTTATTGGGCTTTTGATTGGGATTGCACTGCATTTATAGATAATTTTAGGAGAAATTGCCACATTAGTACTTTTAAGAGAGTTTCCAAGATGGCTTACTGGATGCAGCCAGCAAGTGTTGCTCCCAAAGAGAAAGACCACAATTTTGACTACATCAACATAGTTTGAATAGATATTTGGAGAGAAAATGGATAGTGTGGATGGAGAAAAGGTGCGTTTTCTAAGACTGAAGAGCAAGGAAGCTGGGGTGCCCTTATGGGGTGCCTGAACGCTATGACTGCTTTTTGGCCCTGAGTGGCATCTGGGGAAGAAGTGAGTAAAGGGACTGGGAGGCTGCTCACTCTCGCTGCAGACCACTGGGATCCTGGCTGCAGGAAACTCCACACCCCCATGGACATGTGAGTTGGCAAGGAGATCTCCCTGGAGAGTAGATGGAGATGGAGCTGTAGCAGGCACAGAGCCAGGACTTTTTAGCATGGGTCGGATCTGGTGGAGCTCAACCATAAAGTCCCACCTCTGCAGCTGCCTATCTCTCTCAGAGGCTTTGGCCCCAGCTAAACTGCAGGGAGAAAGCAAGGCCTGCTTACCCGCAGGACTGGGACATGTCTATCCTGTAGGCATGCCTGTCCACCAGCCTCTTACATGGCCCCTGCCTGGCTTCCTGGGAGAAGCATGTATACATTGTAGTTTCTGCTACCCAACCTGGATGCTTGGCTCCACCTGAATGCATTCTGGCAGCCCAGAAATCCCTCAGATCCCTCACCACACTTGGAACCTGGCCCTAAGCATCAGGAAGAGGGAGTCATAAGCAAGTCGTGGCACTCCAGTGCTGTGGCCTGTGGTTCAGGAGTGTCAAGCTGGGATCTGTGCTGGGCAGTTGAATGGGGGAGGAACCCACACTCTTCAGAAACTGAGAGGCCAGATTCACACAGGTTCACAGGCTGGCGTGGGCCCTAGGCACACCTCCTTCCACAGGGCTGTTATGGTAAAGATGCAGGGTATTTTTCTAGAAGACATCTCCCTGAGGAAGCCCCACAGCTTGAAACACCTAACAACAATGACAATAATGATAATGATAGTAATAGGCCGGGCGCGGTGGCTGACGCCTGTAATCCCAGCACTTTGGTAAGCGGAGGCGGGTGGATCACGAGGTCAGGAGATCGAGACCATCCTGGATAACACGGTGAAACCCTGTCTCTACTAAAAATACAAAAAAATAGTCAGGCGTGGTGGCGGGCGCCTGTAGTCCCAGCTAGCCGGGAGGCTGAGACAGGAGAATGGCATGAACCCAGGAGGCAGAGCTTGCAGTGAGCTGAGATCCTGCCACTGCACTCCAGTCTCTGGGCGACAGAGCAAGACTCTGTCTCAAAAAAAAAAAAAAAAAAAAAAAAAAAAAAAGGAGATAATGATAGTAATAATAATGGGCATAGTGCCAGTGATTGGAAGTGAGTCTCTCAAGACTCATGAACAGACCTGTACCACAGAACATAGTTGCAAATAAAGAAGATACACAAAGGAACTGCATGGTAAAGAACCTATCTACATCCCACTGCTCTCAAGTGCTATCTACTGGATCGCAGTAGAGATTACACCACCAAAAATCACTTTACTAATTCTTCCCCTGTGAAACCAAGAGCAAGAATTCAACAACAAAGACACTGTACAGAGTCCTAGTCCTCTGAAAACCTTCAAAAAAAGAAAGCCAATAGACTATACTCAATTTATACCCCAATTAGAGGTATACCAGTTCTCTCAGATGAGAAAGAATTGGCTCAAAATCTCTGGCAATGCAAAAAGCCAGAGTGTCTCCTTCAAGAGAGCCCACTAGTGCCCCAGTGATGGTTTTTAACAGTCTGAATTGTCTAAAATGACAGACATGGAAAAAAGAGCAGGGAAACTCATTTAGATTGAGAAGAAAGTTGAAACTTAACCCAAGGAAGCCAAGCAATCCGGTTAAATGATTCAAAACCTGAAAGATAAAATAGCAATCTTAAGAAATATCTAAACTAAAAAAATTCTTGAGCTGAAAGATTTACTGTGAGGATTTTATAATAAAATCAGAAGTATTTCCAGCAGAATAGACTAAACTGAGAAAAGAATCTCAGAGCTCAAACACTGTTTTATTGAATCAACATAGTCAGACAAAAATAAAGATAAAAGAATTAAGAAAAATCAACATCCCCATTGAGAAATATGAGATTACTTAGAGAACAAATCTACAATTTATCAACATTTCTGAGAGAGAAGGAAAGAGAATAGGCAAGTTGGAAAATATGTATGAAGATATAGTTCATGAAAGTACCTCTAATCTCACTAGCGAGGTTGCCATTCAAATCCAAGAGAACCCCAGTCAGCCCCTAGTCAGATACAATAATATATGACAGTCTGTATTAGTCAGTTCTCACATTGCTATAAAGAAATACTTGATACTGGGTAATTTATAATGAAAAGAAGTTTGGTTGGCTCACAATTCTGCAGGCTGCAGCGGAAGCATGGCAGCATCAGCTTGGCTTATGGGGAGCCCTCAGGAAACTAACAACCATGGAAGAAGGAAGAGGGGGAGCAAGGCATCTTACATGGAAGAACAGGAGCAACACAGAGAGCGGGGAGGTGCTACCCATTCTTAAACAGCCAGATCTCATGAGAACGTTATCGCAAGACAGCACAAGGGGCTGGTGTTAAACCATTCACAAGGATCTATCCCCATTATCCAATCACCTCTCAGCAGGCCCCACCTCCAACATTGAAGATTACAGTTCCACATGTGATTGGGGCAGAATCACAGATCCAAACCATATTGCTATTTCCATGTCACATAGTCATCAGATTCACCAAAGTCAGTGCAAAAAAAAATTTAAGATCAGTTAGAGAGAAAGGGCAGGTTACTCACAGAGTGAATTCCATCAGACTAGCAGCAGACCTCTCAGCAGACTCCTTGCAACCAGAAGAGGTTAGGGGCCTATCTGCAGAGTTTTTAAAGGAAAAAAAATTAACCAATAATTTTATATCCCTCTAAACTAAGCTTCATAGGTGAAAGAGGAAAAAAAAAATTCCTTTGACAAGCAAATGCTGACGTGATACATTTAAACTAGACCAGCCTTACAAGAGGTCTTTAAGGTAGTGCTAAACATGGATTCAAGTGAATGATATCTGCTACCAAAAAAGCTCACTTAAGCACATAGCCCACAGGCACTATAAAGCAATAATGCAATCAACTCTACATAACAACCAGCTAACAACATGATGGTGAATTCAAAATCACACATATCAATACTCACCTAACATGTAAGTAAGCTAAACACCACAGTTAAAAGACACAAAGTGGCATCCTGGATAAAAAGACAGTACCCATCCATCTGTTGCTTTCAAGACACACCCTTTGCCTCAGAGTAAAAGGGTGGAGTGTATTCTACCATGCAAACGAAACAAAAACAAGCAGCAGTCACTATTCTTATATTAGATAAAACAAATTTAAACCAAAAAAAAAAAAAAAAACACTAAGAGGGACAAGAAGAGCATTTTGATAAAGGGTGCAATCTAACAAGAAGCCTTAACTATCTTAAATATATATGTGATTACCACTGGAGCATCCAAATTCATAAAATGACTTCTTCTTTGCCTACCAATGAAAAGAAGAATAACAAGGGCATATTGATAAAGGATAAAATCCTGTGAGAAGCCTTAAATATCTTAAATATATATACACTTAATATTGGAGCACCCAGATTTACAAAATGACTTTTTCTTTCCCCACAAAAAGGCTTAGACAACATCACAATAGTAGTAAGAGACTTCAACACCCTACTTACAGCATTAGACATATCACTGAGGCCAAAAAAAAAAAAAACTAACAGGAAAACTCTGGAGTTAAACTCCACACTTGACCAATTGGACCTAATAGACATCTATTGAAAACTCCATCGAACAACCACAGAATGTACATTTTTCTCATCTGCACAAAAAAAAATTCTAAGTTCAACCACGTGCTCAGTGATAAATAAAGCCTGAATAGATTAAGGAAAAATGAAATCTCACCAAGCACACTGTTGGAGCACAGTACAATAAAAAATACAAATGCATACCAAGATCTCTCAAAACTACAGAAATACATGAAAATTAAACAACTTACTCCTGAATAAATCCTTTGTAAACATCAAAGTAAGGCAGAAATATAAAAATTACTTGAAATTGATAGAAATAGGAACACAACTTACCAAAATTTCTAAGATGCAGCCAAAGCAGTGTTAAGAGGAAACTTTATAGCCCTAAATGCCTTTATCAAGAAGTTAGAAATGTCTCAAATTAACGATGTAACTTTGCACCTAAAGGAACTTGAAAAAAAGAACCAACCAACCCCAAAGCTAGCATGAGAGAAGACATAACAGCAATTAGAGAAGAATTTAATGAAGTTGAGATGCAAAAATGTATACAACAGTCCAAGAAAACAAAAAATTGGTTCTTCAAAAAAAATTGATAAGCTCCTAGCCAAATTAACAAATATAAAAAAGAAAGAGAAGATCCAAATAAGCGCAATAAAAATGACAGGTTATATTAAAATGGATCAGATAGAGATACAAAAGATCCTCAGCGAGTACTATGAACAGCTCTGCACGCAAATTAGAAAATCTGGAGAAAATGAATAAATTCCAGGAAGCACACAGTCTCCCAAGATGGAATCAGAAAGAGATCAAAACTCTAAGTAGACTAATATCAACTTCTGACATTGAGTCAGTACTAAAGAACCTACCAACAACAACAACAACAACAAAAAGGCCTGAAACAGGTAGATTGGCTGCTGAGTTTTACCAGACATACTAAGAAGAAATGATATCAATCCTACTAAAATTATTTCAAAATATCGAGGCGGTGGGGCTCCTTCCTAACTCATTCTTTGAAACCAGCAGTAGCATGATATGAAAATCTGGCAGAGACACTGTGAAAAAACAAAACTTCAGACCAAGATCCCTCATGAACAGAAAATGTAAAAATCCTCAACAAAATACTAGCAAACCAAATTCAGCACCACATCAGAAAGGTAATACACCATGGTCAAGTAGGCTTTATTCCTGGGATGCAAGCTGGTTCAACATATGCAAACCAATAAATGTGATTCACCAGCTAAATAGAATCAAAAGTAAAAACCATATGATTTTCTAAACAGATACACAAAGGTCTTCTTAATAAAATCCAACACTACTTCATGGTAAAAATCCTCAATAGACTAGGCATCCAAGGAACATACCTTAAAATAATAAGAGTCATCTATGGGAAACCCACAGTCAACATCATACTCAATAGGTTAAAAACTTAAAACTATTTCTATGAGAACTGAAACAAGACAAGGATGCTCACTCACAGCACTCCTATTCAGCTTAGTACTGGAAGTCCTATGCAGAGCAATCAGGCAAGAGAAAGAAAAAGTAACGAAACAGGAAAAGAAGTCAAACTATCTCTCTTCGCTGAAAATATGATCCTATGCCTAGAAAATCCTAGAGATTCTGCCAGAAGGCTCCTAGAATTAATAACTTTAGTATAGTCTCAGGATACAAAATCAGTGTAAACAGTACTGATTATGGTGAAATAAGTAGCATTTCCATACACCAACAATGTCCAGGCCAAGAGTGAAATCAAGAACACAATTCCACTTAAAATAGCCACAAAAAAGAGAAATACCTAGGAATACAGATAACCAAGGAAATGAAAGATCTCTTCAAGGAGAACTACAAAACACTGCTGAAAGTCACACACCTACAACCATATGATATTTGACAAGGCTGGCAAGAACAAGCAATGGGGAAAGGACTCCCTAGTCAATACATTCTGGGATAACTGGCTTGCCATAGGCAGAAGATTGAACCTAGACCTTTACCTTGCAACATGCCCCAAAATTAAATTTAAATGGATTAAAAATTTAAGTGTAAGACCTCAAACTATAAAAATTCTGGAAGATAACCTAGGAAATATTTTTTTGACATCAGCCTTGGCAAGTCGTTTTTGGCTAAGTCCCCAAAAGCAATTGCAACCAAAACAAAAATAGACAAGTAGGACTTAATTTGACTAAATAGCTTCTGCACAGCAAAATAAACTATCAACAGGGGAAAGAGGCATCCTCCAGAATGGGAGGAGATATTCACAAACTATGAGTCTAACAAAAGCCTAATATCCAGACTCCATAGGGAACTCAAATCAACAAGCCAAAAAAAAAAAACCATTAAAAAATAAAAAATGGGCAAATGAGATGAACAGATATGCCTGAACAGAAGATATACAAGTGGCCAACAAACATGAAAAATTGCTCAGCATCAGTAATTATCAGATAAATGCAAATCAGAACCACAATGAGGTACCATCTCATGTTAGTCAGAATGGCTATTACTAAAAAGTCAATAAATAACATGTTGGCAAGGCTGTGCAGAAAAGGAAACACTTTACGTCACTGGCAGGATTGTAAATTAGTTCAGCAATCGTGGAGAGCAGTCTCGAGATTTCTGAAAGAACTTAAAACAGAACTACCAATTTACCCAGCAATCCTACAACTGGGTATATACCCAAAAGAAAATAAATCATTCTACCAAAAAGACATATGCACTTGAATGCATCACTGTGCTATTCACAATAGCAAAGATGTGGGATCAATCCAGATGCCCATCAATGGTATATTGGATAAAGAAAACCTGGTATGTATACACCATGGAATACTACACAGCTGTGAAATATAATGAAATCATGTCCTTGGTATGAACATAGGTGGAACCAGAGGCCATAATTTCAAGCAAATTAATGCAGAAACAGAAAGCCAAATACTGCATGTTCTTACTTATAAGAGCTAAACATTGAGCATATATGGACATAAATATGGGAACAGTAAACACGGTGGACTACTAAAGTGTGCAGAGGGGAGGGCAAGTTAATATACTACATATTGGTTGCTGTGCTCACTACCTATGTGCTCCAAACCTGAGCATTATACAATATTCCTACATAACAAATCTGTGCCTGTAACCCCTGAATCTAAAATAAAAGTTGAAATTTTTTAAAAAGTCTTTTCACCTATGAACAGAAGATACTGTTCCATTTATTTGTACCTTTGATTTCTTACAGCAGCATTTTGAAAGTTTTTATTGTACAAATAGTTTGTCATCCTGGTTAAATTGATTCCAGAGCATTTTATTCTTTTTAATACTGTTGTTCATGGTATTGTTTTCTTAATTTCCTTTTCAGATTAATCATTATTGGTGTGCATCAATGCAACTGAGTTTTGTAAGTTAATTTTGTATCCTGCAACATTACTTAATTTGTTTAAACTGTTTTGAGGTGTTTTTCTGTTTGTACAATCTTCAGAATTGTGTGCATACATGATTACTGTGAACAGAGATATTTCTATTTTATTCTTTTTAACATATGCATTTTTGTCTTTATTTTATTTTTGTTATTGCTTAAGCTAAAGTTTTATATACTCTGTTGAGTGGAAGTGGTAAAAAAGAGGAACTATTTTTAGTTCCTGATATTAAGGGAAAACATTTTTTGTATTTCACTGTTGATTATGTTGTGTGTTTGTACCATGAATGAGTAATATCTTGTAGAATGCTTTTTCTGTGTAAATTGAGATATTGTGGTGTTTAACAGTACTAATGCGGTATATTATGATTATTTGTTTATTTATTTATTATTTATTTATTTTTAGAGACAGGATATTATGATGTTGTTTAGACTGCTCTTGAACTCCTGGACTGAAGTGAACCTATCACCTTAGCATCCTGGGTAACTGGGATTACAGGCACAAGCCACTGTGCCTGGCTACATTTATTGATATTTATATGTTAAAGCATCTTTGCACTTCAGTAATAACTCTCAATTAGTCTTGGTAGATAACCCTCTTATTATTCTGCTAAATATATTTTGCTAATATTTATTTTATAGATTTTATATTATTTATAAAGAACATTTTTCTTCAACTTTCTTTTCTTGTAGTGCTTTTGTTCATTTTTTATGTCACTGTAATTTTGGCCTACCTCATAGAATAAATTTGGAAGTGTTTCTGCATCTTCAGGTTTTTGCAAGAGTTTGAGGATAATTGGTAATTAATTCTTAAAATGTTTGATAGATTCAGCAGCATAACAGTTTTGTACTTTTTTTTCTGGAGGGGTGATTTTTGCATCAATCTGCAACTATAGGTCTGTTCAGATTTTCTATTTGTTCATGACTCAGTGTCAGTACATTGTGTATTTCTACATATACATGTGTCAACTTTATCAACATTATTCAATTTCCTTGTGGTCTCTTAGAGACTTATTTAACAAGATCTGAGGCATACAGTTCTTTCAGTTGTATTCTGCTACCATGTATTTATTCTGCTGTTGATGTAGTGGTTATGTGAGAGCTTAGGCAAAGCACTCTATTGACTTATGCATTAGCCTCATTAAAACAAATCAAAACAAAACAGTGTATCCCTAGGCTGTGAATTTCATGAGGACTTCTCACTCTTTACCTCTCTTAACTGGATCAAGAAGGTTAGAGGGGGATGGAATTGGGCATTTCTCTTACTCCAGGAAGTCTGGCTCTGGTAAAATCTCAGTTGGTTAGGCTTTTGATACATAGTTTATATTGAAGATAGGAATGTTAAAAAGAAAATTTTCTGGGAATAGTTAAAAATGGCTACATTTCCCTTCCTCCTACTGGAATCAAGAAGCATTTTTTCTATCATCTTCCCTGTAAAAGCCATGTCATGTTTCTGAAAGTAAAGTTCATAAATTTGTATACCCTG
>NT_187383.1:297134-446171 GCF_000001405.40 Homo sapiens
GAATTCCTCTCACAGAGTCAAACTTTTCTTTTGATTCAACAGTTTGGAAACACTGTTTATATCCATTCTGTGGATGGCCATATGGGAGCTCACTAAGGCCTATGGTGAAAATTGAATATCCCAGGATAAAAACGAAAAGGAAGCCATCTCAGAAAGTGCTTTGTGATGTGTGCATTCAGCTTGAGGAGTTAAATATTTCTTTTCCTTCAGCAGTTTGGTAACACAGTTTTTGTAGAGTCTCAGAACGGACAACTTGGAGCTCATTGAGGCCAATAGCGAAAAGGGGAATGTTTCAGGATGAAAACTAGAAGTAAGCTATATTAGAAATCTTTTTGTGATGTGTTCATTCATCTCACAGAGGTAAACATTTCTTTTCATTAATCAGGTTGGAAAAACTGTTTTTGTAGCCTCTGCAAAGGTTTATTTGGGAGCACATTGAGGTCTATGTTCAAAAAGAAAATATCTGCAGATAAAAACTAGAAAGAAGCATTCTGAGAAACTGCTTTGTGATGTGTGCATTCACCTGACAGATTTAAACTTTTCCTTTGATTCAGCAGTTTGGAAACACTTTATTTGTCCAATCTGGGAATGCACATTTGGGAGCTCATTGAGGCCAATGGTGAAAGAGTGAATATCCCAAGATAAAAACTAGAAGGAAGCTATCTAAGGAACTGTTTTGTGATGTGTGCATTCATCTTGCAGTGTTAAACCTTTCTTTTGATTCAGCAGTTTAGAAACATGATTTTCGTTTATTCTGCAAATGGACCTTTGGGAGCTCATTGAGGCAAAAGGTGAAAAAGTGAATATCACCAAATAAAACAGAAAGAATGTATATGAGAAACAGCTTTGTGATGTGGACATTTATATCACAGAGTTAAAACTTACTTTTGATTCAGCAATTTGGATACAATATTTTTGTCCATTCTATGAAAAGACATTTGGGAGCTCTTTGACGCCAAAGTCGAAAAAGTGAATATCCCATGAAGAAAATCAGAAAGAAGCTATCTCAGGAACCTCTTTGTGATGTGTGCATTCGTCTTGCAGAGGTCTATCTTTCTTTTCGTTAAGAAGTTTGGAAAAACTGTTTTTGTATGATCTGGTATAAGATATTTGGGAGCAAATTGAGGCCTATGGTGAAAAAGAAACTATCATCAGATAAAAAGTCGAAAAATAGTTTCTGAGGAACTGCTTTGTGTTCTGTGCATTCATCTCACAAAGTTACACCTTTCTTTAGACCTAGCAGTTTGGAAAAACTGATTTTTTCCATTCTGGGAATGGACATTTCAGAGCTCATTCAGGCCAATGACAAAAAATCGAATATCCCAGAATGAAAAGTAGAAGGAAGCTATCTGAGAAACCTTTATGTGATATGTAAACTCATCTCACTGAGTTAAACCTTTCTTTTCATTCCGCAGTTTTGAAACACTATTTTTGTCCATTCTGTGAGTGGACATATGGTTGCTCATTGAGGCCAATGGTGAAAAAGGGAATATCACCAGATAAAAAGTAGAAGGGAGCTATATGAGAAACTGCTTTGTGATGTGTGCATTCATCTGTCTGAGTTAAACTTTTCTTTTCATTCAGCAGTTTTGAAACACTGGTTTTGTAGAATCTGCCAAGGGATATTTGGGAACACCTTGAGGCCTGTGATGAAAAAGAAAATATCTTCAGATAAAAACCAGAAAGAAGCTTTCTGAGAAACTTCTTTGCTGTGTGTGAATGCATCTTACATAGTTAAAACTTTCTTTTGATTGAGTAGTTTGGAAAAACTGTTTCCATCTGGATATTTGGGAGCTCATTTGGCCAATGGCAAAAAAGGAAAAAACCCAGAATAAAAACAAGAGGATGCTATCTGAGAAACTGCTTTGTGACGTGTGCATTCATCTTGCAGAGTTAAACCTTTTCTTTCATTCTGAAGTTTTGAAACTTTGCTTTTTTCCTTTCTGTGAATGGGCATTTAGGAGCTCTTTGAGGTTAATGGCAAAAAAAATGAATATCCCAGGAAGAAACCAGAAAGAAGCTGACAGAGAAAAATCTTTGTGATGCGTGCATTTATCTCGCAGAGATAAACCTTTCTTTTCATAAAGCAGTTTGGAAAAATTGTATTTGTGGAATCTGCAAAGAAATATTTGGGAGCACAGTGCAGCTTATGATGAAAAAGAAAATGTCTTCAGGTAAAAACTAGAAAGAAGCTTTCTGAAAAACTGCTTTGTGATTGTGCATTCATTGCACAGAGTTAAACCTGTTATTGATTTAGCAGTTTGGAAACACTGTTTTTGTCCACTCTATGAATGGATATTTGGGATCTCATTGAGACCAATGGGGAAAAAGCAAATATCCCAGGATAAAAACTGGAAGGAAGCTATCTGAGAAACCATTTTGTGATATGTGCATTCACCGCACAGAGTTAAAACTTTCTTTTGGTTCAGCAGTTTGGAAACACTGTTTTTGTCAATTCTGTCAGTGGACTTTTGGGAGCTCATTGAGGCCAATGGCAATAAGGTGAATATCATAGTATAAAAACAGAAGGAAGCTATCTGAGGAAGCTATAAAAGCAGAAGGAAGCTCTTTGTGATGTGTGCATTCAGCTTGAGGATGTAAATCTTATTTTTCTTTCAGCAGTTTGGAAACACTGTTTTTGTAGAATCTACAAATGGACATTTGGGAGTGAACTGAGGCCTATGGTTGAAAAGAAATCATCTTCAAATAGAAACTATAAAAAATCTTTTTGAAAAACTGCTTTGTGATGTTTGCATTCGTCTCACAGGGTTAAACCATTCTTTTGTTTCAGCAGCTTTTAAACACTGTTTTTGTCCATTCTGTGAATGGACATTTGGGAGCTATTTGAGGTCAAAGGTGAGAAGAAAATATCCCAGGATAAAAATTAGAAGGAAGCTCTATGAGAAACTGCTTTGTGATGTGTGCATTTGTCTCAGAGAGTTAAAATTTTCTTTTGATTCAGTGGTTTGGAAACACTGTTTTTGTCTTTTCTGCAAACGGCCTTTAGGGAGCTCATTGAGGCCAATGGCAAAAAAGCAAATAACCTAGAATAAAAACAGAAAGAAGCTATCTGTGAAACTGCTTTGTGATGTGTGCATTCATCTAGCAGAGTTAAACCTGTCCTTTCACTCAGCAGTTTTGAAACACTGTTTAATTTCCATTCTGCAAATGGACATGTGGGAGCTCACTGAGGCCAATTGCGAAGAAACGAATATCCCAGGAAGAAAATGAGAAGGAAGCTATCTGAGAAACCCATATGATGTGTGCATTCATCTTGTTGAGGTAAAACTTTCTTTTCATTAAGCAATTTGGAAAAATTGTTTTTGTAGCATCTGCAAATAAATATTTGGGAGCACATTGTGGCCTATGGTGAAAAAGAAAATATCTTCAGATAAAAATAGAAAGAAACTTTCTGAGAAATTACTTTGTGATGTGTGCATTCATCTCACAGACTTAAAACTTTCTTTTGATTCAGAAGTTTGGAAACACTGTTTTTTTCCATTCTGCAAATGGAAATTTGGGAGCTCATTGAGGCCAATGGCGAAAAAGAAAATATTTCAGGATGAAAACTAGAAGAAAGCTATATTAGAAAACTTTTTATGATGTGTTCATTCATCTCAAAGAGGTAAACCTTCCTTTTCATTAAGCAGTTTGGAAAAACTCTTTTTTTAGCATCTGTGAAGGGTTATTTCAGAGTGCATTGAGGCCTATGTTCAAATAGAAAATATCTGTAGATAAAAACTAGAAAAAATGCTTTCTGAGAAACTGCTCTGTGATGTGTGCATTCATCTCACAGAGTTAAACTTTATTTTGATTCAGCAGTTTGGAAACACTTTATTTGTCCATTCTGGAAATGCACATTTCAGAGCTCTTTGAGGACAATGGTGAAAAATTGAATGTCACAGGATATAAACTCAGAGGAAACTATCTGAGAAACTGCTTTGTTATGTGCACATTCATCTAGCAAGTGAAACCTTTCTTTACATTCAGCAGCTTGGAAACACTGTTTCTGTAGAATCTGTGAAGGGATATTTGGGAGTGCTTTGAGGCCTATTTTGAAAAAGAAAATATCTTCAGATAAAAATGAGAAAGTAGCTTTCTGAGAAACTGCTTTGTGATGTGTGCATTCATCTCAGACATTTAAACCTTTCTTTGAATTCAAAAGTTTAGAAACACTGCTTTTGTCCATTCTCTGAATGGACATTTGGGAGCTCTTTGAGGCCAATGGCAAAAAATCAAATTGTCCCAGGATAAAAACTAAGAGGAAACTATCTGAGAAACTCCTTTGTGATGATGTGTTTCATCTCACAGAGTTAAACCTTTCTTTTGATTCAGCAGTTTGGAAACGCTTTATTTGTCCATTCTTGGAATGCACATTTGGGAGCTCATTGAGGCAAAAGGCGAAAAATTGAATGTCACAGGATATAAACTCAGAGGAAGCTATCTGAGAAACTGCCTTGTGATGTGCACATTCATCTCGCAGAGTTAAAACTTTCTTTTCATTCAGCAGTTTGGAAACACTCTTTTTGTAGAATCTGTGAAGGTATATTTGGGAGCACATTGAGACCTATGATGAAAAAGAAAATATCTTCAGATAAGAAATAGAAGCTTTCTGATAAACTGCTTTGTGTTGTATGAATTCACCTCACAAAGTTACACCTTTCTTTTAATTCAGCTGTTTGGAAACACTGTATTTTTTATTCTTCGACTGGATATTTGGGAGACCTTTAAGCCCAATGATGAAAAATTGAATGTCCTAGGATAAAAACTAAGAGGAATCTATCTGAGAAACTGCTTTGTGATGTGTGTTTTCATCTCGCTGAGTTAAAACTTTGTTTTGATTCAACAGTTTGGAAACACTTTATTTGTCCATTCTTGGAATGCACATTTGGGAGCTCACTGAGGCAAATGGCAAAAAATTGAATATCACAGGATATAAACTCAGAGGAAGCTATCTGAGAAACTGC
This sequence comes from Homo sapiens, assembly GCF_000001405.40. Classification (NCBI taxonomy): domain Eukaryota; kingdom Metazoa; phylum Chordata; class Mammalia; order Primates; family Hominidae; genus Homo; species Homo sapiens. Next base: position 302,102 of record NT_187383.1, read on the forward strand.
CTTGTGATGTGCTCATTCATCTCACAGAGTTAAACCTTTCTTTTCATTCAGCAGTTTGGAAACACTCTTTTTGTAGAATCTGTGAAGGTATATTTGGGAGCACATTGAGGCCTATGATGGAAAAGAAAATACCTTCAGATGAAAAATAGAAAGAAGCTTTCTGAGAAACTGCTTTATGTTGTATGCATTCATCTCACAAAGTTACACCTTTCTTTTAATTCAGCTGTTTGGAAACACTGTTTTTGTTTATTTTGCAATTGGACATTTCGGAGTCCTTTAAGCCCAATGATGAAAAATTCAATGTCCCAGGATGAAAAGAAGAAGGAAGCTATCTGAGAAAACTTTTTGTGAAATGTGCATTCAACTCGCAGAGTTAAAACTTTCTTTTCATTTAGCAGCTTGGAAAAACTGTTTTTGTCCATTCTGTGGTGGACATATAGGAGCTCATTGAGGCAAATGGCAAAAAAGCAAATATCACCGGATAAAAACTAGAAGGAAACTATCTGAGATACCGCTCTGTTATGTGTGCATTCATATCACATAGTTAATCCTTTTTTTTGTTCAGTAGTTTGGAAACACTGTTTTTGTCTGGACATTTGGGAGCTCATTGAGGCCAATGGTGAAAAAGTGAATATGCCAGGATAAAAACTAGATGGAAGCTATCTCAGAAACATTTTTCTGATGTGTGTATTCATCTCACAGAGTTAAAAGTTTCTTTTGCTTCAACAGTTTGGAAACACTGTTTATGTAGAATATGTGAAGGGATCTTCAGATAAAAACCAGAAAGAAGCTTTCTGAGAAAGTGCTTTGTGATGTCTGCATTCACCTTACAGAATTAAACCTTTCTTTTGATTCAACAGTTTAGAAACACTGTTTTTGTCCATTCTCTGAACGGACATTTTGGTGTTCATTAAGGACAATGGCAAAAAATGGAATGTCCCAGGATAAACACTAAGAGGAATCTATCTGAGAAACCAGAATCTGCAAAGGGATATTTGGGTGCACATTGAGAACTGGGGTGAAAATATAATACCTTCAGATAAAAACTAGAAAGAAGCTTTCTGAGAAACTTCTTTGTGATATGTGCATTCATCTCATAGAGTTAAATGTTTCTTTTGAGTCAGAAGTTTGGAAACGCTGTTTTTGTCCATGCTGTGAATGAACATTTTGGTGTTCATTAAGGACAATGGCAAAAAATGGAATGCCCCAGGATAAACACTAAGAGGAATCTGTCTGAGAAACCACTTTGTGATGTGTGCATTCATCTCACAGAGTTAAATCTTTCTATTCATTCTGCAGTTCCAAAACACTTTTTTTGTAGAATCTATGAATGGACATTAGGAAGGGAATTGAGGCTTATGGTTGAAAAGAAAATATCTTCAGATGGAAACAAAAAAAATCTTTTTGAAAAACTGCTTTGTGATGTGTGCATTCATCTCTCAGGGTTAAACCATTCTTTTGATTTAGTGTTTTTAAACTTTGTTTTTGCCCATTATGCAAATGGACATTTGGGAGTTCATTGAGGTCAATGGCAAAGAAGAGAATATCCCAGGATAAAAACTAGAAGGAAGCACTATGAGAAACCTCTTTCTGATGTGTGCATTTGTCTCAGAGAGTTAAAACTTTCTTGTGATTCAGCAGTTTGGAAACACTGTTTTTGTCTTTTCTGCAAATGGACATTTTGCTGCTCTTTCAAGCCAATAGTGAAAAAGGGAATGTCCCAGGATAAAAACTTAGAGGAAGCTATCTGAGAAAACAGTTTGGGTGCTTGCATTCGTCTCACAGACTTAAATCTTTCTTTTCATTCAGCAGTTTGGAAACACTGTTTTTGTCAATTTTTCAAATGGACTTAAGGGAGCTCATGGGGGCCAATTGCAAAAAAAAGCAAATAACCCAGAACAAAAACAGAAGGAAGCACTCTGTGAAGCTGCTTTGTGATGTGTGCATTCATCTAGCAGAGTTAAATCTTTCCTTTCCTTCAACAGTTTTGAAAACTGCTTTTTTCTTCCATTCTGAATGGACATTTGAGAACTCATTGAGGCCAATGTCGAAAAAGGGACTATCCCAGGAAGAAGATGAGACTGAACTTACTTGAGAAACCTCTTTGTGATGTATGCATTCATCTCACTGAGGTAAACCTTTCTTTTCATTAAGCAATTTGGAAAAACTCTTTTTGTAGCATCTGCAAAGAAATATTCGGGAGCACATTGAGGCCTATGATTAAAAACAAAATACCTTCATATAAAAATTAGAAAGAGTCTTTCTGAGAAACTGCTTTGTGACATATGCACTCATCTCACAGAGTTAAAAGTTTCTTTTGATTCTGCAATTTGGAAACTATTTTTGTCCATTCTGTGAATGGACATTTGGGAGCTCAGTGAGGCCAATGGCAAGAAATCGAACATCCCAGGATGAATACTATGTGGAAGCTCTCTGAGAAACTGCTTTGTAATGTATGCATTAATCTCACAGAGTTAAACATTTCCTTTCATTCAGCAGTTTTGAGACACTGTTTTTTTTCATCCTGCAAATGGACATTTGGGAGCTCATTGAGGTCAATGACAAAAAAGCAAACATACAAGGATAAAAACTACAAGGAAGCTATCTGAGAAACTGCTTTTGATGTGTGCACTCATTTTGCCAAGTTAAAACTCTCTTTTTATTCAGCAGTTTGCAAAAACTGTTTTTGAAGAATCTGCAAAGGGATATTTGGGATCTCATTGAGGCCTATGGTGAAAAAGGAAATATCTTCAGATAAATCTAGAAAGAAGCTTTCTGAGAGACTGCTTTGTGATGTGTGCATTAATCTCACGAGTTAAATATTTGTGTTCATTCCGCTGTTTAGAAACACTGTTTTTGTCCATTCTGTGAATGGACATTTTGGAGCTCTTTGATGCCAATGGCAAAAAAGGGGATATCCCAGAATAAAAACAGAAGGAAACTGTCTTAGAAACCACTTTGTGATGTGTGCATTCATCTAACAGATTTAAACTTTCTTTTGATTCATCAATTTGGAAACACTGCTTTTGTCCATTCTGCAAAAGGGCATTTGGGACCTCGCTGATGCCAATGGTGAAATACCAAATATTCCAGAATGAAAACAGAAGGAAGCTATCTGGTAAACCTGTTTGTGATGTGTGCATTCAGCTCGAGGAGTTATATCTTTCTTTTTATTCAGCAGTTTGGAAAAGCTGTTTTCGTAGAATCTGAGAATGGACAGTTGGGAGCGCATTGAGGCCTATAGTGAAAAAGAAAATATTTTCAGATAAAAACTAGAAAGAGGATTTCTGAGAAACTGCTTTGTGAAGCAAGCATTCACCTCACTGAGATAAACCTTTTTTTGATTCATCAGTTTGAAAAACACTGTTTTTGTCCACTCTGTGAATGGACATTTGAGAGCTTATTGAGGCCAATGGTGAAAAAGCGAACATCCCAGCATAAACAATAAGTGGAATCTATCTGAGAAACCGTTTTGTGATGTGTGCTTTCATCTCAGAGAGACAAAAACCTTCTCTTGATTCAGCAGTTTGGAAACACTGTTTTTTCCATTCTACACATCTACATTTGGAAGCTCATTGAGGCCGAAGGTGAAAAAGAGGATATCCCACGATACAAAGAGACGGAAGCAATCTAAGAAACCACTTTGTGATGTGTTCATTCACCTCGAGGAGTAAAATCTTTCTTTTCATTCAGCTGTTTGGAAACACTGATTTCTAAAATCTGCAAATGGAAATTTGTGGTGCATTGAGGCCTAAGGTAGATATCATCAGATAAAAACTAGAAAGACGTTTTCTGAGAAACTGCTTTGTGATGTGTGCTTTCATCTCACAGAGTTAAACCTTTCTTTTGTTTCAGAAGTTAGGAAACACTGTTTTAGTCCATTCTGTGAATGGATATTTGGGAGCTAATCAAGGCCAATGACAAAAAAGTGAATATCCCATGACAAAAACTAGAAAGAAGCAATCTGAGAAAATGCTTTGTGATGTGGGCATTCATCTCTTAGAATTAAACCTTCCTTTTCATTCAGCAGTTTGTAAACACTTTTTCTGTTCATTCGATGAATGGACATTTTGAAGCTCATTGTGGCCAATGGCCAAAAATCAAATGTACAAGGATGAAAACTGAGAGGAAGCTATCTGAGAAACATCTATGTCATGTGAGCATTCATCTCAAGGAATTAAATCTTTCTTTTCATTCAGCAGTTTGGAAACCATTTTTTTGTAGATCTGCAAATGGACATTTGGGAGCTCACTGAGGCCAAGGGTGAAAAATTGAATGTCCCAAGATAAAAACTAAGAGGAAGCTATCTGAGAAATATCTTTGTGATGTGTGAATTCATCTCACAGTTATGCCTTTCTTTTCCTTCAACAGTTTGCAAGCAATATTTTTTTAAAAATCTGTGAATGGATATTGGGGAGTGCATTGAAACCTATGATGAAAAAGAAAATATCTTCAGATGAAAACTAGAAATAAGCTATCTGAGAAACAGCTTGTGATGTATGCATTCATCTCAGAGAGTTAAATCTTTATGTTGATTCAGCAGTTTGGAAACACTGTTTTTGTCCATTCTGTGATTGGACATTTTGGAGCTCATTGAGGCCAATGGGGAAAAGCAAATGTAGCATGATAAAACCTAGAAGGAAATTATCTTAAAAAAACTGCTTAGTGATGTGTGTATTCATCTTGCAGAGTTACTCCTTTCTTTCATCGATCAGTTTGGAAACACCATTTTTGTAGAATCTATGAGGGAATATTTGGAGCACAATGAGGCCTATGGTGAAAAATAAAATATCTTCAGTTAAAAACTAGAAAGAAGCTTTCTGAGAAACTGCTTTGTGGTGTTTGCATTCATCTCACAGATGAAAACTTTCTTTTAATTCAGGAGTTTGGAAACAATGTTTTTTTCCATCCTGAAAATGGACATTTGGGAGCTGTTTGAGGTCAATCAGGAAAAAGTGAATATCCCAGGATAAAAACTGGAAAGAAGCTATCTGAGAAACTGCTTTGTGATGTGTGCATTCATCTCACACAGTTAAACCTTTATTTTGATTCAGCAGCTTGGAAACACTGTTTTTGTCCATTCTGCAAATGGATATTTGAGATCTAATTTAGGCCAATGAGGAAAAGCGAATATCCCAGGATAAAAAACAGAAGGAAACTATCTGGGGAACTACTTTGTGATGGGAGCATTCATCTCCCAGAGTTAAAACTATTTTTCATTCAGCAGTTTGAAAATACTGTTTTTGTAGAAACTGTGAAGGGATATTTGGGAGTGCATTGAGGCCTATGGTGATAAACAAAATATCTTCAAATAAAAACTAGAAAGAAGCTCTCTGAGAAACTGCTTTGTGATGTGTGCATTTTTCTCACACAGTTAAAACTTTCTTTTTATTAAGCATTTTGGAAACATTGTTTTTGTCCATTCTGAGAATGGACATTTTGAAGCTCATTGAAGCCAATGGCAAAAAAACAAGTGTCCCAGGAAAAAAACTAAGTGGAAGCTATCTCAGCAGCCACTGTGTTATGTTTGTATTCAACTCACAGAATTAAAACTTTCTTTTCATTCAGCTCTTGTGGAACACTGTTTTTGTCCAATCTGCAAGTGAACATTTGGGTGCTCATTGAGGCCAGTGGAGAAAAACAGAATATCCCAATATAAAAACTAGAGGGAAGCTATCTGAGAAACCATTCTGTGATGTGTGCATTGATCTCACAGAATAAATTTTACTTTTGATTCAGCAGTTTGGAAACACTGTATTTGTCCATTCTGTGAATGGACATTTTGGAGCTCATTGAAGCCAAAGGCAAAAAAGCAATTATCCCAGGATAAATACTGGAAGGAAATTATTTGAGAAACAGATTTGTGATGTTTGCATTAAGGTTGAGGAGTTTAATCTTTCTTTTTATTCTGCTTTTCAACTGTGCTTTTGGAAGAACTGTTTTGTAGAATATGCAAATGGACATTTGGAAGCTCAATGAGGCATATGTACAAAAAGAAAATAACTTCAGATAAAAACTAGGAAGAATCTTTCTTAGAAACTGTTTTGTGGTGTGTCATCCATCTCACAGAGTTAAACCTTTGTTTGATTCAGCATTTTAAAACAATTTTTTCGTCCATTCTCCGAATGGACATTTGGTAGATAATGGAGGCCAAAGGCAAAAAAACGAATATCCCATTACAAAAACTATCAAGAAGCTCTCTAAGAAACTGCTTTCTGATGAGTGCACTCATCTCAAAGAGCTAAAACTTTCTTCTTTCAGCAGTTTGGAACCACTGTTTTGTAGAATCTGTGAAGGGATATTTGGGAGTACATTGAGGCCTATGGTGAAAAAGAAAATATCTTCAGATAAAAACTAGAAAAAAGATGTCTGAGAAACTGCTTTGTGATGTGTGCATTGATCTCACATAGCTAAACCTTTCTTTTGATTCAGCAGTTTGGAAACAATGTTTTTGTTCATTCTGTGAATGGACATTTGGGAGCGCAATGAAGCCAATGGCCAAAAATCGAATGTCCCTGGATAAACATTAGGAGGAAGCTATCTGGGAAACTGCTTTGGGATGTGTGCATTCAGCTTGCAGAGTTAAACCTTTCTTTTCATTCAGCAGTTTGGAAACACTGTTTTTCTCCATTCTGTGAATGAACAATTGGAGTGCATTTAGGCCAATGGAGAAAAAGTGAACATCCCAGGATAAAAACTAGAAAGAAGTTATCTGAGAAACTGCTTAATGATGTGTGCATTCATCTCGCAGAGTTAAACTTTTCTTTTCTTTCAGCAGTTTGAGAACACCATTGTTGTCCATTCTGCCAATGGACTTTAGGGAGCTCGTTGAGGCCAAAGGCAAAAAACGTGCATATGCCGGGATAAAAACTAGGAGGAAGCTATCTGAGAAACTGCTCTGTGATGTCTGCATTTATCTCACAGAGTTAAACCTTTCTTTTCATTCAGCAGTTTGGAAACAATTTTTTAATAGAATCTGCCAACAGATATTAGGTAGTGCATTGAGGCATATGGTGAAAGAGACAATATCTTCAGATAAAAACCAGAAATAATTTTCTGAGAAACTGCTTTGTGATATGTGCATTCATTTCACAGAAATAAACCTTTCTTTTGATTCAGTAATTTGGAAACACTGTTTTTGTCTATTCTACAAATGCACATTTTGGAGATCTTTGAGGCCAGTTGTGAAAAACTGGATATCCCCAATAAAAACTAGAAGGAAGCTATCTGTGAAACCAATTTGTGATGTGTGCATTCAGCTTGCAGAGTTAAAGCATTCTTTTCATTCAGCATTTTGGAAGCACTCTTTTTGTAGAACCTGTGGAAGGATATTTGGGAGCATAATGAGGTTATGGTGAAAAAGAAAATATCTTCAAATTGAAAACTAACAGAAGCTTTCTGAGATACTGTTTTGTGATGTGTGCATTCATCTCAAAGAGTTAAACCTTTATTTTGTTTCAGCAGTTTGGAAATACTGTTTTTGCCCATTCTGCGAATGGACATTTGGGATCTCATTGAGGCCAATGGCGAAAAAGTGAATATCCCAGGATAAAAACTAGAAGGAAGCTATCTGAGAAACCTCTTTGTGATGTGTGCATTCATCTTGCAGGGTTAAAACTTCTTTTCATTTAGCAGTTCAGAAACACTTTTTTTGTAGAATATGAAAAGGGATATTTGGAAGTGTGTTCAGGACCATGGTGAAAAAGGAAATATCCTCAGATAAAAACTAGAAAGAAGCTTTCTGAGAAACTGCTTTGTCATGTGTACATTCCTCTGGCACAGTTAAACCTCTGTTTTCATACAGCAGTGTAAACACTGTCTTTTTCAATTCTGCAAATTGACATTTGTGAGCTCATTGAGGCCCATGAGGAAAATGCGAATATCCCTGGATAAAAACTAGAAGGAAGCTATCTGAGGATCTGCTTTGTGATGGGTGCATTCATCTCACAGAGTTAAAACTTTCTTTCAATTCAACAGTTTTGAATCAATGTTTTTGTCTATTCTGTCAATGGACATTTTGAGCTTATTGAGGACAATGGTGAAAAAGTAAACGTCCCAGGATAAAAACTAGTAGGAAGGTATCAGAGAAACCACTTTGTGATGTGGGCAATCATCTCTCATAGACAAAGTTTTCTTTGAATTCAACTGTTTGGAAACACTGTTTTGTAGAATCTGTCAAGTGATATTTAGGAGTGCATTGATGTCTATGGTGAAAAATAAAGTAACTTCAGATAAAACCTAGAAGGAATCTATCTGAGAAACCACTTTGTAATGTGTGCATTCATCTCGTAGAGTTAAACTTTCCTTTTTAGCCAGAAGTTTGAAAACACTCTTTTTGTAAAATCTGCAAAGGGATAATTCGGAGTGCATTGAGGCCTTTGGTGAAAAATAAAATATCTCGAGATAAAAAAAAGAAAGAAGCTTTCTGAGAAAGTGCTTTGTGATGTTTGCATTCGTCTCACAAGGTTAAACTTTTCTTCTGATTCAGGTGTTTGGAAACTCTGTTTTTGTCCATTCTGCAAAAGTACATTTGGGAGCTCACTGAGGCCAAAAGGGAAAAAGCAAATATCCCAGGATAAAAACTAGAAGGAAGCTATCTGAGAAACTGCTTTGTGATGTGAGCCTTTGCCTCACAGAGATAAACTTTTCTTTTCATTTAGCAGTTTGGAAACACTTTTTTTAAGAATCTGTGAAGGGAAATTTGGGAGCGTGTTAAGGCTTATGGTGAAAAAGGAAATATCTTTAGATAAAAACTAGAAAGAAGGTTTCTGAGAAGCTGCGTTATGATGTGTGCTTTCATCTCACAGAGCTAAACCTTTCTTTTGATTCTGCATTTTTGAAACACTGTTTTGGTCCATTCTGCGAAAGGACATTTAGGATCTCATTGATGCCAATGGCAAAAAGTGAATATCCCACGATAAAAACTAGAAGTAATCTATCTGAGAAACCGCTTTGTGATGTGTGCGTTCATCTAACAGAGTTAACACTTTCTTTTCATACAGCAGTTTGTAAACACTATTTTTGTCCATTCTGTGAATGGACATTTAGGAGCTCAATGAAGACAAGGCAAAAAAGTGAATATCCCAGGACAAAAACTAGAAGGAAGCTATCTGACAAACAACTTTGTGACGCATGCATTCATCTCATAGAGATAAGCCTTTCTTTACATTCAGCAGTTCGGAAACACTGTTTTTGTAGGATCTGTGAAGGGATATTTGGGAGCATATTGAAGCCTATGGTGAAAAAGAAAATATCTTCAGATAAAAAGTAGAAAGAAGCTTTCTGAGAAACAGTCTTATGATGTGTGTATTCATCTCACAGAGTTAAACATTTATTTTCATTCAGCAGTTTGGAAAAACTGTTTTGTCCATTCTGCAAAAGCACATTTTTGAGCTCATCTAGGCCAATGGTGAAAAAGCGAATATCCCAGGATAAAAACTAGAAGAAAGATATCTGAGAAACCGCTTTGTGATGTGTTCACTCATCTCATAGAGTTAAACCTTTCTTTTCATTCAGCAAGTTGGAGACACTGTTTCTATCCATTATGCAAATGGAGATTTGGGAGCTCATTTAGGCCAAAGGCAAAAAGCTGTTATACCAGGATAAAAACTTGAAGGAATCTATCTGAGAAACTGCCTTGTGATATTTGCATTCATCTCACAGAGTTAAATTTTTTTTTTGATTCAGCAGTTTGGAAACACTGTTTTTGTCCATTCTATGAATGGACATTTGGGAGCTCATTGAGGCCAATGGTGAAAAAGCAAATATCCCAGTATAAAATCTAGAAGGAAGCTATCTGAGAAACTGCCTTGGGATGTGTGCATTCTTTTGGCAGATTTAAATCCTTATTTTGATTCAGCAGTTTGGAAAAACTGCTTTTGTCCTTTCTGTGCATGGACATTTGGGACCTCATTCAGGCCAATGGCAAAAAAGCAAATATCGCAGGACAAAAACTAGAATGAAGCTGTGTGAGAAACCACTTTGTGCTTTATGATGTGTGCATTCACCTCGCAGAGTGAAACCCTCCTTTTCATTCAGAAGTTTGGAAACACTGTTTTTGTAGAATCTCTCAATTGATATTTGTGAGTGCATTGAGGCCTATGATGAAAACAAAATATCTTCAGATAAAAACTAGAAAGAAGATTTCTGAGAAACTACTTTGTGATGTGTGCATTCATCTCACAGAGTTTAACCTTTCTTTTTATTAAGTAGTTTGGAAACACTGTTTTTGTCCATTCTGCGAATGGACGTTTTGGAGCTCACCCAAGCCAATTGCAAAAAATCCATTATCCCATGATAAAAACTAGAAGGAATCTACCTGAGATACCACTTAGTGACGTGTGCATTCATCTCACAGAGTTAAACCTCACTTTTCATTCAGCAGGTTGGAAATACTGTTTTTCTCCACTCTATGTATGCATATTTTGGAGCTCATTGAGGTCAAATGCAAAATAGTGAGCATACCTGGATAAAAACTAAAAGGAATCTATCTGAGAAATGGCCTTGTGATGTGTGTATTCATCTCACAGAGTTAAAAAATTTTTTTGACTCAACAGTTTGGAAACACTGTTTTTGTCCATTCTGTGTATGCATATTTGTTAGCTCATTGAGGCCAAAGGTGAAAAAGAGATCATCTCAAGATAAAAGCTGGAAGAAATTTTCTGAGAAACCACTTTCCAATGTGCATTCATCTCACAGAGTGAAACATTTATATTCATTCAGCAGTTTGGAAAAACTGTTTTGTCCATTCTGCGAATGGACATTTGGGAGCTCATTGAGGCCAATGGTGAAAAAACGAATATCCCAGGATAAAACTAGAAGGAAGCTTTGTGAGAAACCACTTTTGGATGTCTGCATACCTCTCAGAGTGAAACCTTTCTTTTGATTCAGCAGTTTGGAAATATTATTTTTGTTCATTCTGTGAATGGACATTTGGGAGCTCTTTGAAGCCAATGTCAAAAAAGTGAGTATTCCGGGATAAAACTAGAAGGAAGTTATCTGAGAAATGACTTTTTGATGTGTACATTTATCTCACAGAGTTAAACAGGCTTTTCATTCACAGTTTGGAAACACTGTTTTTGTAGAGTCTGTGAAGAGATATTTGGGAGTGCACTGAGGCCTGTGTTGGAAAAGAAAATATCTTCAGATAAAAACTGGAAAGAAGCTTTCTTAGAAACTGCTTTGTGATGTGTGCCTTCATCTCACAGAGTTAAAAATTTCATTTGATTCTGAAATTTGGAAACACTATTTTTGTCCATTCTGTGAATAGACATTTCATAGCTCATTGAGGCCAATGGCAAAAAAGCAAATATTCTAGGATGAAAACTAGAAGGAAGCTATCTGATAAAGTGATTTGTGATGTGTGCATTCATCTCTCAGAGGTAAACATTTCTTTTCATATAACAGTTTGGAAACACATTTTTGTCCATTCTGCAAATGGACATATGGGGGCTCATTGAGGCCAATTGCAAAAAACAAAAATCCCATGATGAAAACTAGAAAGAAGCTACCTGAGAAATCGTTTTGTGATGTGTGCATTAATCACTCATAATTAAACCTTTCTTTTTGTTCAGCAGTTTGGAAACACTGTTTTTGTAGAATCTGTGAAGCAATAATTGGGTAATGTTGTGGCCTATGCTTAAGAAGAAAATATCTTTAGATAAAAAATAGAAAGAAGCTTTCTGAGAAACTGCGTTGTGATGTGTGCCTTCATCTCACAGAGTTAAATTTTTTTTTGATTCAGCAGTTTGTAAACACTGCTTTTGTCCTTTCTGTGAATGGATATTTGGGAGCTCATCTAGGCCAGTGGTGAGAAAGCGAATATCCCAGGATAAAAACTAGAAGGAAGCTACGTGAGAAACAGCTTAGTGATATGTGCATTCATCTCATAGAGTTAAATCTTTCTTTTCATTCAGCTGTTTGGAAAGACGGATTTGTCAATTCTGTGAAAGGAGATTTGGGAGCCCGTTGACACTAAAGATGAAAAAGCTAATATACCAGGATAAAAACTAGAAGGAATTTATCTGAGAAACTGCCTTGTGATATGTGCATTCATCTTGCAGGTTTCATTTTTTTTTGATTCGGCACTGTGGAAATGCTGTTTTTGTAGAATCTGAGAAGCAATCTTTTGGATCAGATTGAGGCTAATGATGAAAAAGGAAATATCTTCAGATAAAAATTAGAAAGAATCTTTCTGAGAAACTGCTTTGGGATTTGTGCATGCATCTCACAGAGTTAAACCATTCTTTTGATTCAGCAGTTTGGAAACCCTGTTTTTGTCCATTATATGAATGGACATTTGGGAGCTCTTTGAGGCCAACGGTGAAAAAAAGAATATACCAGGGTAAGAACTGGAAAGAAGCTATTGGAGAAACCACTTTGTCATATGCTCATTCATCTCTCTGAGAAAAATGTTTCTTTTCATTCAGCAGTTTGGAAACACTGTGTTTGTCCATTCTGTGAATTGATTTTTGAGCTCATTGAGGCCAATAGTAAAAAAGCGAATATCCAAAAATAAAAACCCAGAAGGAAGCTATGAGAAATTGCTTTGAGATGTTTGCATTCATCTCGTGGAGTTAAACCATTCTTTTCCTTCAGCAGTTTGGAAACACTATTTTTGATGAATCTGTGAAGAGATATTTGGGGGAGGGCATTGGAGCCTCTGGTGAAAAAGAAAATATCTTCAGCATAAAACTAGAAAGAAGCTTTGTGAGAAACTGCTTTGTGATGTGTTCCTTCATCTCACACAGTTAAACTTTTCTTTTGATTCAGCAATTGGGAACACTGTTTTTCTCCATTTTGTGAATGTACATTTGGCAGCTCATTGAGGCCAATGGTGAAAAAGTGAATATCCCAGGGTAAAAACTAGAAGAAAGCCATCTGAGAAAAAGCTTTGTGATGTCTGCCTTCATCTTGTAGAGGTAATCTTTTCTTTTCATTCAGCAGTTTGGAAACACTGTTTTTGTAGAATCTGTGAAGGGGTAATTGGGAGCACATTTGGTCCCATGGTGAAAAAGAAAATATCTTCAGATTTAAACTAGAAAGAAGCCTTCTGAGAAACTGATTTGTGATAAGTTCCTTCATCTCACAGAGTTAAACCTTTTTTTTGATTCAGCAGTTTGGAAACCGTGTTTTTGTCCCTTCTGTGAATGGACATTTGGGAGCTCATTGAGGCCAATGGAGGAAAAGTGAATATCCCAGGATAAAAACCAGAACTAAGCTACCTGAGAAATAGCTTTGTGATATGTGCATTCGTTGCACACAGATAAATTTTCCTTTTGATTTGGCAGTTTGTAAATACTGTTTTTGCATATTCTGGGAACATACATTTGGGAGCTCATTTAGGCCAATGCTGAAAAAGCAAATATTGCAGGATAAAAACTAGAAGGAAGCGACCTGAGAAATTGCTTTGTGATGTCTGCCTTCTTCTCATAGAGTTAATCCTTTATTTTCATTCATTAGTTTGGAAAAACTGCTTTTATAAAATCTGCTAAGGGGTATTTAGGAGCATAATGGGGCCTATGGTAAAAAAATTATCTTCAGATTAAATCTAGAAAGAAGCTTTCAGAAAAACTTCTTTGTGATGGGTTCCTTCAACTCATAGAGTTAAACCTTTCTTTTGATTCAGCAGTTTGGAAACACTATTTTTGTCTCTTCTGCGAATGCATATTAGGGAGCTCTGAGGCCAATGGCAAAAGAGTGCACATCCCAGGATAAAAACCAGAATGAAGCTATCTGAGAAACCGCTTTTTGATGGTCTCATAGAGTCAATGCTTTCTTTTCATTTAGCAGTTTGGAAACACTTTTTTTAGAACCTACAAAGGCATATTTGGGAGGGCATTGAGGTCTAAGGTGAAAAACAAAATATCTTCAGAAGAAAACTACAATAAAGCTTTCTGAGATACTGCTTTGTGATGTGTGCAATGATCTCGCAGAGTTTAAACTTTCTTTTGATTCAGCAGTTTGCAAACACTGTTTTTTTTTCCATTCAGTGAATGGAGATGTGGGAGATCATTTAGGCCAAAGGTGAAAAAGTGTATATCCCAGGATAAAAACTAGAAGGAAGCTATCTGAGAAACTGCTTTCTGATGTGTGCATTCATCTCGCAGAGGTAAACATTTCTTTTCATTCAGCAGTTTGGAAACACTGTTTTTGTCCATTCTGCGAATGGATTTTGGGAGCTCATTGAGACCAATTGCAGAAAAGAGAATATCCAAAAGTAAAAACCCAGAAGGAAGCTATGAGAAACTGCTTTGGGATGTGTGCATTCATATTGCAGAGTTTAAGTATTCTTTTCCATTAGCAGTTTGGAAACACTGTTTGTGAAGAATTTGTGAAGGGATACTTGGGAGCACATTGAGGCTTATGGTGAAAAGAAAAATATCCTCAGATAAAAATTAGAAGGAAGATTTCTGAGGAACTGCTTTCTGATATGTAATTTCATCTCACAGAGAAACATTTCTTTTGATTCAGCAGTTTGGAAACACTTTTTTTGTAAATTCTGCAAATGGACATTTGGGAGCTCATCAAAGCCAATGGAGAAAAATCGAATATCCCAGGATAAAAACTAAAAGGAATCTATCTGAGAAACCGCTTTTCAATGTGTGCATTCATCTCGTAGTGTTAAACCTTTCCTTTCATTCAGCAGTGTGGAAACAGTGTTTTTGTAGAATCTGGGAAGGAATATTTGGAGCACAATGAGGCCAGTGGAGGAAAAGCAAGTATCCCAGGATAAAAACCAGAGTGAAGCCACCTGAGAAACAGCTTTGTGATGAGTGCATTCATCGCAAACAGATAAACATTTCTTTTCATTAAACCATTTGGAAACACTGTTTTTGTCCATTCTGCAAATGGACATTTTCGAGCCCATTCAGGCCAATGGTGAAAAAGCATATATCCCAGGATAAACTAGAAGGATGCTATCTGAGAAACTGCTTTGTGATGTGTGCATTCAGCTCGCAGAGTTAAACCTTTATTTTCATTCAGCAACTTGGAAACACTGTTTTTGTAGAATCTGTGAAGGGATATTTGGGAGATCATCAATGCCTCTGGTTAAAAAGAAAATATCTTCACACAGAAACTAGAATGAAGCTTTCTTAGAAAATGCTTTCTGATGTGTGTGTTCATCTAACAGAGTTAAACCTTCCTTTTGATTCAGGAGTTTGGAAAAAATTTTTTTTCCCCATTCTTCAAATGGATATTTGGGAGCTAATTGAGACTTCATCCTGTCATAGTGTTAAACTTTGTTTTCATTCAGAGTATGGAAACAGAGTTTTTGTCCATTCTGCAAATGGACATTTGGCAGCTCATTGAGGCAAATGGCAAAAAAGTGAATAACCTAGGATAAAAGCCAAAAGGAACCTTTCTGAGAAACAGCTTTGTGCTGTGTGCATTCGTCTTACAGAGCTAAATCATTCTTTTGATTCAGTATTTTGGAAACACTGCTTTTGTGCATTCTGTGAATGGACTTTCAGGAGCTCTTTGTGGCCAATAGTGTAAAAGTGAATATAACAGGAAAAACGTGAAGGAATCTACCTGAGAAACTGCTCTGTGATTTGTGCATTCATCTCACAGAGTTAAAATTTTCTTTTCATTCAGCAGTTTGGAAACAGTGTTTTTGTCCATTTTGTGAATGGACATTTATGAGATCATTGAGGCCAATTGCCAAAGAGAAAATATCCAAGGATAAAAATGAAAAGAACGCTATCTGAGAAACCGATTTGTGATAAGTGCATTTGTCTCATGACTTAAACATTTCTTTTCATTCAGCAGTTTGGAAACACGGTTTTGTAGAATCTGCAAAGGGATATTTTGGAGCTCATTGAGGCCTATGGTGAAAAGGAAAATATCTTCAGATAAAAACTAGAAAGAAGCTTTCTGAGAAACTGCTTTGTGATGTGTGCATTCATCTCACAAAGCTAAAACTTTGTTTTGATTCAGCAGTTTAGAAACACTGTTTTGGTCCATTCTGCAAATGGACATTTGGGAGCTCATTGAGGTCAGTGGTGAAAAAGCTAATATCCCAGGATAAAAACTAGAAGGAAGATATCTGAGAAACTACTCTGCGATGGGTGCATTGATCCTGCAGTGTTAAACCTTTCTTTTCATTCAGCAGATTGGAAACGCTGTTTTTATAGAATCTGTGAAGGGATATTTGGGATCACAGTGAGGCCTATGGTGAAAAAGAAAATATCTATAGATAAAATCCAGAAAGAAGCGTTCTAAGAAACTGCTTTGTGATGTGTGCATAGATCTCACATAGTTAAATCTTTCTTTTGATTCAGCAGTTTGGAAACACTGTTTTTGCCCATTATGCAAATGGACATTTGGGAGCTCATTGAGACCAATAGTGCAAAAGGGAATATCCCAGGATAAAAACTAGAAGAAAGCTATCTGAGAAACCACGTTGTGTTCTGTTCATTCATCTCACAGAGTTAAATCTTTCTTTTCTTTCAGCAGTGTTGAAACACTCTTTTTTAGAATCTGAGAAGGGATATTTGGGGGCACATTGAGGCCTATGGTGAAAAGGAAATATGATCAGATAAAAACGAGAAAGAAGCTTTCTGAGAAAGTGTTTTGTGATGTGTACATTCGTCTCACTGAGTTAAACCTTCCTTTTGATTTAGCAGTTTGGAAACACTGTTTTGTCCATTCTGCAAATGGACATTTGTGAGCTCATTGAAGCCTACGGTGAAAAAGCGAATACCCCAGGATAAAAACTGGAAGGAAGCTATCTGAGACTCCACTCTGTGATGTGTGCATTGATCCTGCAGAGTTAAATCTTTCTTTTCATTCAGCAGATTGGAAATGCTGTTTTTATAGAATTGCGAAGGGATATTTGGGATCACAGTGAAGCCTATGGTGAAAAAGAAAATAGCTACAGATAAAGAATAGAAAGAAGCGTCCTGAGAAACTGCTTTGTGCTGTATTAATAGATCTCATATAGTTAAATCTTTCTTGTGATTCAGCAGTTTGGAAACACTGTTTTTGCCCATTTTGTGAGTGCACATTTGGGAGCTCATTGAGACCAATGGTGCAAAAGGGAATATCCCAGTGTAAAAACTAGAAGGAAGGTATCTGAGAAACCACGTTGTGGTCTGTTCATTCAAAATCTTCCATTTCTTTCAGCAGTGTTGAAACACTCTTTTTTAGAATCTGAGAGGGGATATTTGGGGGCACATTGAGGCCTATGGTGAAAAGGAAATATGCTCAGATAAAAACGAGAAAGAAGCTTTCTGAGAAAGTGTTTTGTGATGTGTACATTCGTCTCACTGAGTTAAACCTTTCTTTTGATTTAGCAGTTTGGAAACACTGTTTTGTCCATTCTGTGAATGGACATTTTTGAGCTCATTGAAGCCTATGGTGAAAAAGCGAATGCCCCAGGATAAAAACTGGAAGGAAGCTATCTGAGACTCCACTCTGTGATGTGTGCATTGATCCTGGAGAGTTAAATCTTTCTTTTCATTCAGCAGATTGGAAACGCTGTTTTTATAGAATCTGTGAAGGGATATTTGGGATCACAGTGAAGCCTATGGTGAAAAAGAAAATAGCTACAGATAAAAAATAGAAAGAAGCATTCTGAGAAACTGCTTTGTGATGTGTGCATGGATCTCATATAGTTAAATCTTTCTTGTGATTCAGCAGTTTGGAAACCCTGTTTTTGCCCATTCTGTGAATGCACATTTGGGAACTCATTGAGACCAATGGTGCAAAAGGGAATATCCCAGTGTAAAAACTAGAAGGAAGCTATCTGAGAAACCACGTTGTGTTCTGTTCATTCATCTCACAGAGTTAAATCTTTCATTTCTTTCAGCAGTGTTGAAACACTCTTTTTTAGAATCTGAGAAGGGATATTTGGGGGCACATTGAGGCCTATGGTGAAAAAAAATAAGCTCAGATAAAAACCAGAAAGAAGCTTTCTGAGAAAGTGCTTTGTGATGTGTACATTCATCTCACTGAGTTAAACCTTCCTTTTGATTTAGCAGTTTGGAAACACTGTTTTGTCCATTCTGTGAATGGACACTTCTGAGCTCATTGAGGCCTATGCTGAAAAAGGGAATACTGCAGGATAAAAACTAGAAGGAAGCTATCTGAGACTCTGCTTTGTGATGTGTGCATTGATATCACAGAGTGAAACATAACTTTTCATTCAGCAGTTTAGAAACACTTTTTTTGTAGAATCTCTGAAGTGGTATTCAGGAGCTCATTGAGGACAATGGCGGAAAAGTCAATATCTCAAGATATAAACTGGAGGATAGCTATCTTAGAAACCGGTTTGTGATGTGTGCATTCATCTCACAGAGTTAAAACTTTCTTTTCATTCATCAGTTTGCAAACACTGTTTTTGGATAACCTGGGAAGAGATATTTTGGAGCAAATTGAGGCCTATGCTGAAAAAGAAAATGTCTTCAGATAAAAACTAGAAAGAAGCTTTCTGAGAAACTTCTTTGTGATGTGTGCATTCATCTCACAGCGTTAAACCATTCTTTTGATGCAGCAGTTTGGAAACATTGTTCTTGCCCATTCTGTGAAAGGACATTATGGAGCTCATTGAGGCCAATGGTGAAAAAGCGAATATCACAGGATAAAAACTAGAAGGAAGCTATCTGAGGAACCACTTTAAGAAGTGTGCATTCATCACCAGAATTAAACCCTTCTTTTTCTTCAGCAATTTGGAAACACTGTTTTTTTAGAATAGTAAAGGGATACTTGGGAGCGCATTGATGCCTATATTGACAAAGAAAATAACTTCAGATAAAAACTAGAAAGAATCTTTCTGAGAAACTGCTTTGTGATGTGTGCATTCATCTCACAGAGTTAAACCTTACTCTTGACTCACCAATTTGGAAACCCTGTTTTAGTCCATTCTGTGAATGGACATTTTGGAACTCATTAAGTCCCATGGTGAAAAGGGGTATATCCCAGGATAAAAACTAGAAGGAAGCTATCTGAGAAACTTTTTGTGATGTTTGCCTTCATCCCACAGAGTTAAACCTTTCTTTTGATTCAGCAGTTTGGAATCACTGTTTTTGTCCATTCTGCAAATGGACATTTGGGAGCTCATTGAGGCCAAGGGTGAAAGAGCGAACATCCCAGGATAAAAACCAGAAGGAAGCAATCTGAGAAACCACTTCATGATGAGTGCATTCATTTCAGAGCATTAAACCTTTCTTTTGATTCAGCAGTTTGGAAAGACTGTGATTGTCTACTCTGAATGGACATTTGGGAGTTCATTGAGGCCAAAGGCAAAAAAGCGACTCTCCCAGGATAATAATGCAAAGGAAGTTATCTGAGATACTGCTTTGTGATATGTGCATTCACCTTGCAGAGTTAAACCTTTCTTTTCATTTAGGAGTTTGGAAAAACTGTTTTTGTCCATTCTGTGAGTGAATATTTGGGAGCTCATTGAGGCGAATGGTGAAAAAGCAAATAACCCAGGATAAAAACTAAAAGAAATTATCTGAAAAACCGCTTTGTGATGTGTGCATTCATCTCACAGAGTTAAACTTTTTTTCTATCCAGCAGTTTGGAAACACTCTTTTTGTAGAATCTGCGAAGGGATATTTGGGAGCCTAATGAGGCCTATGGTGAAAAAGAAAATATCTTCAGATAAAAACGAGAAAGAAGTTTTCTGAGAAACTGCTTGGTGATGTTTGCATTCACTTCACAGAGATAAACATTTCTTTTTATTTAGCAGTTTGAAAACACTCTTTTTGTCCACTCTGTGAGTGGACATTTTGGAGCTATTTGAGGCCCAAGGCAAAAAAGTGAATATCCTATTATAAAAACTAGAAGAAGCTATCTGAGAAACCGTTTTGTGACTTGTGCTTTCATCTCACAGAGTAAAGCCATACTTTTCATTCAGCAGTTTAGAAACACTGTTTTTGAGGAAACTGCAAATGGATATTTGGGTGCACATTGAAGCCTATTGTGAAAAAGAAAATATCTTCACATAAAAAGTAGAAGGAAACTTTCTGAGATACTCCTTTGTGATGTGTGCATTTATCTCACTTAGTTAAAGCATTCCTTTGACTCGGCAGTGTGGAAACACTGCTTTTGTCCATTCTGTGAGTGGACATTTGGGATCTCACTGACGCCAAAAGGAAAAACTTGAAAATCCCAAGATAAAAAGTAGAAGGAATCCATCTGTGAAACCGCTTTGTGGTGTGTGCATTCATCCCACAAAGTGAAACCTTTCTTGTCATTCAGTAGTTTAGAAACACTTTTTTTGTAGCATCTGCAAAGGGATATTTGGGAGCTCATTGAGGCCTATGGCAAAAAAGGAAATTAGAGAGAAGTTATCTGAGGAAACTCTTTGTGATGTGTGCATTCATCTTGCAGTGTCAAACAGTTCTTTTCACTTGGCAGTTTGGAAAAAGTGTTCTGTCCATTCTGTGAATGGACCTTTGGGAGCTCACTGAGTCCAATGTTGAAAAAGCAAATACCCAAGGATAAAAATTAGAAATAAGCTATCCAAGAAACCGCTTTGTGATATGTGCATTCATCTCACATTGTTAAACTTTTCTTTTCATTTAGCACTTTGGAAACGGTTTTTTTGTCCATTTTGTGAATGGACATTTGAGGGATGATTGAGGTGAATGGCTAAAAAGCAAATATCCCAGCATAAAAACTAGAAAGAAGCTATCTGAGAAACCGCTTTGTGATGTGTGCATTCAATTGAGGAGTTAAATCTTTATTTTCATGCAGCAGTTGGAAAACATTTTTTGGTAGAATCTGCGAATTGACATTTCACAGCTGACTGAGGCCTATTATGGCAAAGAAAATGTCTTCAGGTAATAACTAGAATGTATCTTTCTGAGAAAGTGCTTTGAGATGTATGCATTCATGTCACCGAGTTAAAATTGTCTTATGATTCAGCACCTTGGAACACTGTTTCAGTCCATTCTGCGAATGGATATTTGGGGGCACTGTGAGGCCAATGGTGATAAGGTGAATGTCTCAGGATTAAAACTGAGAGGAAGCTATATGAGAAACCGCTTTCTGATGTGTATATTCATCTTGCAGAGTTAAAACTTTCTTTTCTTTTCGTTCAGCAGTTTGGAAACACTGTTGTTGCCCATTCTGTGATTGGACATTTGGGAGCTCATTGAGAGCAATGGAGAAAAAGGGAATATCCCAGGATAAAAACTAGAAGGAAGCTATCTTCCTTCTAGTAGTGTCTGCAGAGGGATATTTGGGAGCATATTGAGGCCTATGGTGAAAAAGTAAATATCTTCAGATAAAAACTAGAAAGAATCATTCTGAGAAACTTCTTTATGATGTGTGCATTCATCTCACTGAGTTAAACCTTTGTTTTGATTCAGCAGTTTGGAATCACTCTTTTTGTCCATTCTGTGAATGGACATTTGGGAGAAAATTGGGGCCAATGGGGAAAAAGAGAATGTCCAAGGATAAAAAATAAGAGGAATCTATCTGAGAAACTGCTTTGTGATGTGTGCATTCAACTCCCTGAGTTAAACCTTTTTTTCATTAGGCAGTTTGGAGCTACCATTTTTGTAGAATCTGTGAATGGATATTTGGGAGCACGTTGAGGACTATGGTGAAAAAGAAAATGTCCTCGGATAAAATATAGAAAAAAGTTTTCTGTGTGACTGCTTTGTGATGTGTGCATTCAGCTCACAGAGGTGAACCTTTCTTTTGATTCAGCATTTTGGAATCGTTGCTTTTATCCATTCTGCAAATGGATATTAGGGAGCTCATTGAAGCCAAAAGTGAGAAACAAAATGCCCCAATATAAAAACTAAGAGAAAGCTGTCTGAGAAACTTCTTTGTGATGTGTACACTCATCTCGAAGAATTGAACTTTTCTTTTCATTCAACCTTTTGGAAACACTGTTTTTGTCCATTCTGCAAATGGACATTTGGGAGCTCTTTGGGTCCAATGGTGAAAAATCGAATGTCCCATGATAAAAACTATGAAGAACCTATCTGATAAACTGCTTTGTGATGTGTGTATTCATCTGGCTGAGGTAAACCTTTCTTTTTATTCAGCTGTTTGGAAACACTGTATTTGTAGCATCTGCGAAGGGATATTTAGGAGGGCATTGAGGCATGTGGTGAAAAAGAAAATATCTTCAGATAAAAATTATAAAAAAGCTTTCTGAGAAACTGCTTTGTGATGTGTGCTTTGTGATGTGTGCATTCATCTCACAGAGTTAAACCTTTCTCAGTAATATGGAAACTCTCTTTTTGTCCATTGTGTGAAAGCACATTTTGGAGTTCTCTGAGGCCAATGGCAAAGAAAGGGAATACCCCAGGATAAAAACTAGAAGGAAGGTATCTGAGAAACTGCTTTTTGATGTGTTCATTCAGCTCGAGGAGTTAAATCTTTCTTTTCATTCAGCAGTTTAAAGACACTGTTTTTGTAGAACCTGTGAGTGGACATTTAGGAGCTCACTGAGGCCAATGGTGAAAAACAATATAAATTCAGATAAAAACTAGACAGAAATTTCTGAGAAACTACTTTGTGATGTGGGCATTCATCTCACAGAGATAAACCTTTCATTTGATTCAGCAGTGTGGAAAAAGTTTTTGTCCATTCTGTGAATGGACTTTTTGGAGTTCATTCAATCCAATGGTGAAAAGTGAATACCCCAAGATAAAAACTAGAAGGAAGCTATCTGAGAAAGTACTTTCTGATGTGTGCATTCATATCACAGATTTAAAACTTTCATTTTGTTCAGCAGTTTGGAAACACTCTTTTTGCAGAACCTGCAAAAGGATATCTGGGGTTGCTTTGAGGCCTATGGTGATAAGGAAAATATCTTCAGATAAAAACTAGGAAGAATCTCTCTGAGAAACTGCTTTGTGATGAGCACATTCAGCTCACAGTGTTAACCATTTATTTTGATTCAGAAGTTTGGAAACACTCTTTTATCTATTCAGTGAATGGACATTTGGGAGCTTATTGAGGTCAATGGTGAAAAGGCGAATGTCCCAGGATAAGAACTAAGAGGAAGCAATCTGAGAAACTGCTTTTTGATGTGTGTATTCATCTCGTAGAGGTAAACATCTCTTTTAATTCAGCTGTTTGGAAACACTGTTTTTGTAGTATCTTTGAAGTTATATTTTGGAGCACAGTGGGGTCTGTGATGAAAAAGAAAATCTCTTCAACTAAAAATTTGAAAGAAGAAATGTGAGAAACCGCTTCATTATATGTGAATTCATCTCCCTGATTTAAACCTTTTTTTTTCATTCAGCAGTTTGGAAGCACTGTTTTTGAAGAATCTGCAAGGGGATATTTCAGAGTGCATTGAAGCCTATGGTGAAAAACAAAATACCCTCAGATAAAAACTGGAAAAAAACTTTCTGAGAAACTGTTTTGTGATATGTGAATTCATCACACATAGTTAAAATTTTCTTTTGATTCAGTGGTTTGGAAAAACTTTTTTTTTCCATTCTGCGAGTGGACATTTCAGAGCTCATGGAGACCAATGGAGAAACAACGAATATACCAGGATAAAAACTAGAAGGAAGCTATCTGAGAAACAGACTTGCAATGTATGCATTCATCTGGCAGAGTTAAAACTTTCTTTTCATTCAGCAGTTTGGAAATACCGTTTTTGTCCACTGTTTGAATGGATATTTGGGAGCTCATTGAGTCCAATGGTGAAAAATCGAATGTCCCATTATAGAAACTATGAAGAAGCTTTCTGATAAACTTCTTTGTGATGTCTGCATTCACTGCACCTAGGTAAACCTTTCTTTTTATTCAGCTGTTTGGAAACACTGTTTTTTTCATTCTGCGAATGGACATCTGGGACCACATTTAGGCTGATGATGAGAAAGAAAATAACTTCAGAAAAAAAACTGGATAGAAGGTTTCTGAGAAACTGCTTTGTGATGTGTGCATTCATCTCACAGAGTTAAAACATTCCTTTCATTCAGAAGTTTGGAAAAACTGATTTTGTAGAATCTGCGAAGGGATACTTGGGAATGTAATGAGGCATATGTTGAAGAAATATATTCAGATAAAAACTAAAAAGAAATTTTCCGAGAAACTGCTTTGTGATGTGTGCATTCTTCTCACAGAATTAAAACATTCTTTTGATTCAGCAGTTAGGAAACACTGCTATTGTCTTTTCTGTGAATGGACATTTGGGAGCTCATTGAGGCTGGAGGTGAAAAAGTGAATATGCCAGGAAAAAAACTACAATAAGCTGTCTGGGAAGCTGCTTTACAAAGTGTCCATTCATCTCACAAAGTCCTTTAAGCCTTTCTTTTCATTCAGCAGTTTGGAAGCACTGTTTTTGTACAAACTACAAAGGGATATTTGCGAGTGCTTTGAGGCCTATGGTGAAAAGGAAAATACCTTTAGATAAAAAATAGAAAGATGGTTTCTGAGAAACTACCTTGTGAAGTATGCATTCATCTGACAGAGTTAAACCTTACTCTTGATTCAGCTGTTTGGAAACACTGTTTTTCCAATCTGTGAATGGACATTTGGGAGCTCATTGTGGCCCATGGCAAAAACGCATATATCCCAAGACAAAAAGTAGAGGGAAGCTATGTGAGATAGCAATTTGTTATGTGTGCATTCATCTCACAGATTTAAACATTTCCTTTGAGGCAGCAGTTTGGAATCACTGTGTTTGTCCATGATCCGAATGAACATTTGGGAGCTCATTGAGGCCAATGGTGAAAAAGCAAATGTCCCAGGATAAACACGAAAAGGAAGCTATCTGAGACACCACTCTGTGATGTGTACATTCATCACGCAGAGTTAAAACTTCTTTTTCATTCAGCAGTTTGGAAACACTGTTTTGTAGAATCTGTGAAGGAATATTAGCTAGTGCCTTGAGGCCTATGCTGAAAAGGAAAATATCTTCAGATAAAAACTAGACAGAAGATTTTTGATAAACTACTTTGTGATGTGTGCATTCATCTCACAGTGTTAAACCTTTCTTTTCATGCAGCAGTTTGGAATCACTGTGTTTGTCCATACTCTGAATGGATATTTGGGAGCTCATTGAGGCCAATGGTGAAAAAGAAAATATGCCCAGATGAAAACTACAAGGAAGCTATCTGAGAAACCACTTTGTGATGTGTGCATTCATCTCACAGAGTTAAACTTTTTTTTCATTCAGCTGTTTGGAAACGCTGTTTTTGTAGAATCTGCAAAGGGATATTTGGGAGCACATTGAGGCCGATGGTGAAAAATAAAATATCTTCAGATAAAAACTAGAAAGAAGGTTTCTGAGAAACTGCTTTGTGAAGGGTGCCTTCATCTCACAAAGATAAACTTTTCTTTTGATTCCTTGGTTTGGAAACACTGTCCATTCTGTGAATGGACATTTGGAGCTTGTTGAGGCCAATGGTGAAAAAGGGAATATCCTAGGATAAAAACTAGAAGGAAGCACTCTGACAAACCTCTTAATGATTTGTGTTTTCATTTCACAGAGATAAAGATTCTTTTTATACAGCAGTTTGGAAATTGTTTTTGTCCATTCTGCAAATGAACATTTGAGAGCTCACTGAGGCCAACGGGGAAAAATCAAAAATCCCAGATAAAAATGAGAAGGAATCTATCTGAGAAGCTGCTTTGTGATGTGCGCATTCATCCCACATATTGAAACCTTTCTTTTCTTTCTGCAGTTTGGAAACACTGTTTTTGTCCATTCTGTGAATGGACATTTGGGAGCTCATGGAGGCCAAAGGTGAAAAAGTGAATATCCCAGGATGAAAACTAGAAAGAAGCTATATGAGAAATGGCTTTGTGATATGTGCATTCATCCCACAGACTGAAACCTTTATTTTCATTCAGCAGTTTGGAATCACTGTTTTTGTAGTCTCTGCGAGGGGATAGGTGGGAGCACATTGAGACCTCTGGTGAAAAAGAAAGTATCATCAGATAAAAACTAAAAGGAAACTTCTAGTTTGGCCCCAACGCGCTCCCAAGTACACCTTTGCAGATTCTACCAAAACAGTTTTTCCAAACTGCTGAATGAAAAGTTTAACTCTTTGAGGTGAATGTACACATCACAAGGCAGTTTATCAGATAGATTCCTTCTGTTTTTTATCATGGGAGATTCGCTTTTTCACTTTGGGGCTCAAAGAGATCTGAAATGTCCATTCTCTGAATAGATAAAAACGGTGTTTCCAAACTGCTGAATCAAAAGAAAGGTTTAACTTTGTGAGATGAATGCTCACATCACAAAGCTGGTTCTCAGAAAACTTTCTTGTAGTTTTTATCCTGGGATATTCACTTTTTCGCCATTGGCTGCAAAGAGTTCCTAAATGTCCATTCTCCAAATAGATAAAAATGGTGTTTCCAAATTGCTGAATCAAAAGAAAGGTTTAACTCTGTGTGTTGAAAGCGCACATAACAAAGCAGCTTCTCAGAAAGCTTTTTTCTACTTTTTATCTGAAGATATTTTATTTTTCACCATATGCCTTAATATGCTCTAAAATATCCCCTTGCAGATTCCACAAAAACAGTGTTTCCATATTGCTGAAAGAAAATAAGGTTTAATTCTGTGTGATGTATGCACATAACCAAAGCAGTTTCTCATATAGGTTCCTTCCAGTTTTATCAGGGAACATTTGCTACTTAACCTTTGGCCTCCATGAACTCCCAAATGTCCATTCACAGAATGGACAAAAACACTGTTTCCAACTGCTGAATGAAAAGAAAGGTTTAACTCTGTGAGATGAATGCCCACATCCATCACAAAGCAGTTTCTCAGATATTCTTATTCTATATTTACCCTGGGATATTCACTTTCCCCATTGTTTTCAATGAGTTCCCAAATTTCCATTCATAGAATGGACAAAAAGAGGGTTTCCAAATTGCTAAATCAAAACAAATGTTCAACTCTGTGAGATGAATGCACATATCAAAAAGCAGTTTCTCAGAAAGCTTCTGTCTTGTTCTTATCTTAAGATATTTCCTTTTCCACCATACGCCTCAATGCACTTCAAAATATACTCTCACACATTCTACAAAAACACTGTTTCCAAACTTCTGAGTGAAAAGAATGGATTAACTCTGTCAGATGAATGCACACATCTCAAAGCAGTTTCACAATGCTTCTTTTTAGTTTTCATCTGAGGTTATTTTCTTTTTCAAAATAGGCCTCAGCAGGATCCCAAATATCCCTTTGCAGATTCTACAAAAACAGTATTTCCTAACTTCTGAAAGAAATAAAGGTTTAAATCTGCGAGATGAATGCACACATCAAAAAGTGGTTTCACCGTTAGCTTCCTTGTAGTTTTTATCCTGGGATATTCCCATTTTTGCCATTTGACTCAATGAGCTCCATCCATTCACAGAATGGAAATAAACAGTGTTTCCAAACTATTGAATCAAAAGAAAATATTAACTTCATGAGATAAATGCACACATTACAAAGCAGTTTCTCAGAAAGCTTCTTTCTAGATTTTATCTGAAGATATTTTCATTTTCACCATAGACTTCAATGCACATCCAAATATTCCTTTGCAGTTTCTACAAAAACAGTGTTACCAAACAGCAGAATCAAAACAAAGGTTTAACTCTGTGAGGTGAATGCACACATCACAAAGCAGTTTCTCAGATAGCTTCCTTCTAGTGAATAGCCACGGATATTCACTTTTTCGCTATTGGCCTCAATGAGTCCTAAAACGTCCATTCACATAATGTAAAAAAAAAAAAACAGTGTTTCCAAAATGCTGAATCAAAAGAAATGTTTAACACTGTGAGATAAATGCACACATAAAAATGCAGTTTCTCAGAAAGCTTCTTTCTAGTTTTTATCTGAAGGTGTTTCCTTTTTCACCACAGGCCTCAATGCACTGCAAAATATCCCTTTGCAGATTCTGCAAAACAGTGTTTCCAAACTCCTCAATAAGGTTTAATTCTGTGTGAGGTATGCACATAACCGAAGCAGTTTCTCATATAGGTTCCTTCCAGTTTTATCAGGGAACATTTGCTACTTAACTTTGGCCTCCATGAGCTCCCAAATGTCCATTCACAGAATGGACAAAAACAGTGTTTCCAACTGCTGAATGAAAAGAAAGGTTTAACTCTGTGAGATGAATGCCCACATCCATCACAAAGCAGTTTCTCAGATAGCTTCCTCCTAATTGTCATCTGGGGTTATTCCTTTTTCACCACTGTCCTCAACGAGCTCCCAAATGTACATTAGCAGAATGGACAAAAACAGTGTTTCCGGACTGCTTAATCCAAAGAGAGGTTTAACTCTCTGTAATCAATGCACACATCACAGAGCAGTTTGTAGGATTGCTTCCTTCTAGTTTTTATTCTGGGATGTTTCCTTTTTCACCTTTGGCCTCAGTGAGACTACAAATGTTTATTTTCAGAATGGACAAAAAGTGTTTCCAAACTAGTGAATCAAAAGAAAGGTTTAACTCTGTAAGATGAATGAACACATCATAAAGCATTTTCTTATAAAACTACTTTCTAATTCTTATCTGAAGATATTTTCTTTTTTACCATAGATCTCATTGTGCTCCTAAATGTCTCTTCACAGTTTCTACAAAAACAGTGTTTCCAAACTACTTAGTGAAAGACAGTTTTATCTCTGGGATATGAATGCATGCAGCCCAAAGCTGTGTCTCACATGGCTTCCTTCTAGTTTTTATGCTGTTATATCCACTTTTTCATCATTGCCCTCAATGAGCTCCAAAATCTGCTTTTGCAGAATTGGCAAAAACAGTGTTTCAATACTATTAAATCAAAAGAAAGGTTTAATTCTGTGAGATGAATTCATACATCATTCATACGTCACAAAGTAGTTGCTCAGAAAGTTTCTTTCCAGTTTTTATATAAACATATTCTTTTCAATATAGGCATCAGTTTCCAAACTGCTGAATCAAAAGAAATGTTTAACTCTGTGAGATAAATGCACACATCAAAAAGCAGTTTCTCAGAAAGCTTCTTTCTGAAGATATTTCCTTTTTCACCACAGGCCTCAATGCACTGCAAATTATCACTTCGCAGATTCTACAAAAACAATGTTTTCAAACTTCTAAATGAAAAGAAAGGTTTAACTGTGAGATGAATACACACATCACAAAGTGGGTTCTCAGATAGCTTCTTTGTTGTTTCTGTTTTGGGTTATTCACTTTTTTGAAATTGGCATCAATGAGCAACCAAATGTCCATTCACAGAATGAATGAAAACAGTGTTTCCAAACTGCTAAATCAAAAGAATGTTTTAACACTGCCAGGTGAATGCATACATCACAAAGCGGTTTCCAGATAGGTTAATTCTACTTTTTATCCTGGGATATTCAGTTTTTTGCAATGGCCTCAATGGGCATGCAAATTTCCATTCTCAGAATGGACATAAACTCTTTTTCCAAAAGGCTGACTCGAAAGTAAGTTTTAAGTCTGTGACATGAATGCACCTATCACAAAGTTATTTCTCAGTTACCTTCCTGCTAATTTTTATCTAGGAATATTTACTTTTTCAACATTGGCCTCAAAGAGCTCCCAAATATCCATTCACAGTATGTACAAAAAATGTGTTTCCAAATTGCTGAATCCAAAGAAGGTTTTACCTCTGTGAGATGAATGCACACATTGCAAAGCAGTTTCTCAAAAAGTTTCTTTCTAGTTTTTATCTGAAGATATTTTCTTTTCCACCACATGCCCCAATGCACTCCCAAATATCACTTCTCAGATTCTACAAAAACAGTGTTTCCAAAGTGCTGAATGAAACGACAGTTTTACACATCACAAAGTAGTTTCTCAGATAGCTTCCTTCTAGTTTTTGTTCTGTGATATTCCCTTTTTCACCATAGGCCTTAATGAGCTCACAAAAATCCCATCACAGATTCTAGAAAAACATTATTTCCAAACATCTGAATGCAAAAGAAAAGCTTAACTCTGCTAAATGGATGCACATGTGACAAAGCGGTTTCTCAGATAGCTTTCTTCTTGTTTTTGTCCTGGGATATTCACTTTTTTGCCATCGGCCTCATTGAGCTCTGAAATGTCCAATAGCAGGATGGAGAAAAAGAGTGTTTCCAAACTGCTGAATGAAAAGAAAGTTTTAACTCTGTGAGATGAATGCAAACATCAAAAGGAGTTTCTCAGAAAGCTTCTTTCCAGTTTTTAATCTGAAGATATTTTGTTTTCACCACAGGCCTCAATGCTCCCCACATAGCCTTTCAAAGATACTAAAAAAACAGTGTTTCCAAACTGCTGAATCAAAAGAAACCTTTAACAATGAGAGATGAATGCACATATCACAGGGCAGTCTCCCAGATAACTTCATTGTAGTTTTTATCATGGGATATTCACTGTTTCTCCTTTGGCCTCACTGAGCTGCCAAATATCCATTTGCAGAATGGACAAAAACAGTGTTTCCAAACTGGTGAATTAAAAGAAAAGTTCAACACTGTGAAACGAATGCACACATTACAAAGCAGTTTCTCAGACAGCTTCTTTCTCGTTTTTATCTGAATTTACTTTCTTTTCCACTGTAGGCCTCAACATGCTCCTAAATTTGCCTTCACAGATTCTGCAAAAACAGTGTTTCCAAACTAATGAAGGAAAAGCAAATTTTAATTCTGTGAGATGAATGCATATATCACAAAGCGGTTTCTCAGATAGCTTCCTTTTGTTTTTATCCTGGGATATTCACTTTTTCATGATTGACCTCAATGACTTTTCAAAAGTCCATTCACAGAATGGACAGAAACAGTGTTTCCAAACTCCTGAATCAAAAGAAAGTTTTCGCTCCGTGAGATCAATGCACACATCAGAAAGCAGTTTCACAAAAAGCTTCTTTCTGGCTTTTACCTGAAGATATTTTCTTTTTCACAATAGGACAAAATGTACTCCCAAATATCCCTTTGCAGATTTTAGAAAAATAGAGTTTTCAGACTGCTGAATGAGAGGATGGTTTATCTCTGTGAGATGAAGCACACATCACAAAGCCGTTTGTCAGATAGTTTCTTTCTTGTTTTTGTCCTGGGATACTCGCCTTTTTGCCATTGGCCTCAATCAGCTCCCCAGCGTCCCTTCACGGAATGGACTGAAAGAGTGTTTCCAAACTGGTGAATCAAGGAAAAGTTTAACTCTGTGAGATTAATGCACACAACACAGAGCAGAATGCTTCTTTCTAGTTTTTATCTGAAGATATTTTCTTTTTCACCATAGGCCTCAATGCCCTCCCAAATATCCCTTTGCAGATTCTAAAAACACAGTGTTTCCCAGCAGCTGAATGAAAAGGGATGAATGCACACATCACAAAGCAGTTTCTCAGAGAGCTTCCTTCTAGTTTTAATCCTGGAATATTTGCTTTTTCTCAATTGGCCTCAATGAGCTCCCAAATGTCCATTTGCAGAATAGACAAAAACAGTGTTTGCAAACTGCTGAATCAAAAGAAAGGCTTAACTCTATGAGATAAATGCCAACCTAAAAAACCAGTTTCTCAGAAAGCTTTTCTCTAGTTTTTGTCTGAGGATATTTTTTTTTCACCAGAGCCTTCGATGCAGTACAACATATCCCTTTGTAGATTCTACAAAAATAGTGTTTCCAAACTGCTGAATGTATAGGAAAGTTAATTCTGTGAGATAAATGCACGCGTCACAAAGTGGTTTCTTCTATAGCTTCCTTCTAGTTTTTATCCTGGAAAATTCACCTTTTTGCCATTGGCCTCAATAAGCTCCCAAATGTCCATTCACAGAATGGACAAAAACAATGTTTCCTAATTGCTGAATGAAAAAACAATTTTATCTTTGTGCGATGAATGCACACACCAGAAAGCGGTTTCCAGATAGCTTCATTCTAGATTTTATCCTGGGTTATTTACTTTTTCAACACTGGCCTCAATGAGCTCCAAAATGTCCATTTGCAGAATGGACAGAAACAGTGTTTCCAAAGTGCTGAATCAAAAGAAAAGTTTAATTCTGTGAGATGAATGCAGACATCACAAAGCAGTTTCTTATAGAGCTTCTTTCTAGTTTTTACCTGAATATACTTTCTTTTTCACAATTAGCTTCAATGTGCTCCCAAATATAACCTCAAAGATTCTCCAAACACAGTGTTTCCACACTGCTGAATGATAAAATGGTTAACTCTGTGAGATGAAAGCACACATCACAAAGCTGTTTCACCAAAACCTTCTTTCTAGTTTTTACCTGAAGATATTTTCTTTTCCACTGTAGGCCTGAATGTGCTCCCTAAGATCCCTTTGCAGATTCTCCAAAAACCGTGCTTCCAAACTGCTGAATGAAATAAAGGATTAATTTTGCCAGATGAATGCGTACATCACAAAGGGTTTTCTCAGATATTTTCCTACTAGTTTTTATCCTGTGATATTCATTTGTTCTCCATTGGCCTCAATGACATACCAAGTGTCCATTCGGAGAATTGACAATCACAGTGTTTCCAAACAGCTGAATCAAAAAGAAAGATTTATCTCTGCTAGATGAATGCACATATCACCAAGCAGTTTCTCACACTGCTTTATTGTAGTTTTAATCTTGGGATATTTGCTGTTTCAACATTGGCCTCAATAAGCTTCCAAATGTCCATTCACAGAATGGACAAAAACAGTGTTTCAAAACTGCTGAATCAAATAAATATTTAACTCTGTGGAATGAATGCACACATCAGAAAGCAGTTTATCTGAAAACTTCTTCTAGTTTTTATCTGAATTTACTTTCTTTTTCACCATAGACTTCAAGACACTCCAAAATATCCCTTCACAGATTCTACAAAAGCAGTGTTTCCATATTGTTGAATGAAAAAAAGATTTAATTCTGGTAGATGAATGCACACTTTGTAAAGCAGTTTCTCAGATAGGTTCTTCTAGGTTTTTTCCTGGGATATTCCTTCCAGTTTTTATCTGAAGATATTTTCCTTTTCAATGTAGGCCTCAATGCACTCCCAAATATCCCTTTGAAGATTCTACAAAAACAGTGCTTCCAAACTGCTGAATGAAAAGGCAAGTTTAATTCTGCAAGATGAGTGCACACATCACAAAGCAGTATTTCAGATAGCTTCATACTAGCTTTTATAATGGGATATTCACTTTTCTGCAATTGGCCTCAATGAGTTTCTAAGTGTCCACTTGCAGAATGGACAAAAACAGAGTTTCCGAACAACTCAATCAAAAAAAAAGTTTAACTCTGCAAGATGAATGCAGACATCACAAAGCATTTTTTCAGATAGATTCCTTCCAGTTTTTATCCTTGGATATTAGCTTTTTCACCATTGGCCTCAATGAGCCTTCATATATCCTTTTGCAGAATGGACGGAAACAGTGTTTCCAAACTGCTGAACCAAAGAAAGATGTAGATCTGTGAGATGAATGCACACATAACAAAGCAGTTTCTCAGATAGCTTCTTTCCAGTTGTTTTCCTGGGATAGTCTCTTTGTCTTTGTTGGCCTTGATGAGCTTTCAAATGTCCTTTCATAGAATGGACAGAAACAGTGTTTCCAAACTGCTGAATCAAAAGAAAATTTTAAATCTGTGAGATGAATGCACATATCAAAACGCAGTTTCTCAGAAAGTTTCTTTCTAGTTTTTATCTGAAAATAGTTTTTTTCACCATAGGCCTCCATGCACTTCCAAATATCCCTTCACAGGTTTTACAAAAATAGTGTTTCCAAATTGCTGATTCAAAAGAAAATTTAAATCTGTGAGATGAATTCACACATCACAAATCTGTGTCCTTCTACTTTTTATACTGGGATATTTGCTTTTTCGCCATTGGCCTCAATGAGCTCCAAAATGTCCATTCGTGGAAAGGAGAAAAACAGTGCTTGCAAACTGCTGAATCAAAAGAAAGGTTTAACTCTTTAAGATGAATACCCACATCAAAAACCAGTTTCTCAGAAAGCTTTTTTCTAGTTCCTTTCTGAGGATTTTTTTTTCACCAGAGGCTTTGATGCGCTCCCACATATCCCTTTGCATATTCTACAAAATAGTGTTTTGAAACTGCTAAACATATAGAAATGTTAACTCTGTGAGATGAATGCACACATCACAAAGTGGTTTCTCAGATAGCTTCCTTCAAGGTTTTATCCTGGAATATTCGCTTTTTCACCTTTGGCCTCAATGAGCTTACGATAGTTCATTTCCAGAATGGACAAAAACAGTGTTTCCAAATTACTGAATGAAAGGAAACGTTTGTCTCTGTGATGTGAATGCACACATCACAAAGCAGTTTCCAGATAGCTTCTTTCTAGATTTTATCTTGTGATATTTGCTTTTTCATCATTGACATCAGTGAGCTCCAAAATATCCATTCACAAAATGGACAATAACAGTTTTTCCAAACTGCTGAATCAAAAGAAAAGTTTAACTCTGTGAGATGAATGCACACACCACAAAGCAGTTTCTTAGAGAGCTTCTTTCTAATTTTCATCTGAATATACTTTGTTTTTCACTATAGGCCTCAATGTGTTCCCAAATATCCCTTTGAAGGTTCTACAAAAACAGTGTTTCCAAATTGCTGAATGATAGAATTTTTTTAACTCTGTGAGATGAATTCACACATCACTAAGCTGTTTCACTGAAATCTTCTTTCTGGTTTTTATCTGAATATATTTTCTTTTTCACTGAAGGCCTGAATGTGCTCCCTAAGATCCCTTCACAGATTCTACAAAAACCGTGCTTCCAAACTACTGAATAAATATAAAGGTTTAATTCTGCCAAACGAATGTGTACATCACTAAGTTATTTCTCAGATATCTTCCTACTGGTTTTTATCCTGGGATATTAACTTTTTCACCATTGGCCTCAATGAGCTCCCAAGTGTTCATTCACAGAATGGACAAAAACAGAGTTTACAAACTGCTCAATCAAAAATAGTTTAACTCTGCAAGATGAATGTTCACATCATAAAGCGGGCTCTCAGATAGATTCCTTCCAGTTTTTAACCTTGGATATTCACTTTTTTGCCATGGGCCTCAAAGAGCTCCCAAATGTCCATTTGCAGAATGGACAAAAAGTGTTTCTGAACTGCTGTATCAAAAGAAAGGTTTAACTATGTGAGATGAATGCACACATCACATTATGGTTTCTAAGGCAGCTTCCTTCTTGTTTTTATTCTGGGATATTCACTTTTTCGCCATTGTCCTCAATGAGCTCCCAAATGTCCATTTGCAGAATGGACAAAGACAGTGTTTGAAAAGAGCTGTATGAGAAAAAGTTTTAACTATGTGAGATAAATCCACATGTCACAAAGCAGTTTCTCAGAAAGTTTCTTTCTAAGTTTATTTGAAGATATATTCTTTTTCACCATATACCTCAATGCATTTCCAAATATCCTTACACAGATTCTACAAAAACAGTGTTTCCAAACTGCTAAATGTAAAGAAATGTTTAACACTGACTTATGAATGCACACATCATGAAGCAGTTTCTCAGATAGCTTCCTTCCAGTTTTCATCCTGGGATATTTGCTTTTTTCACCATTGGCCTCAATGAGCTCCCAAAAGTGCATTCACAGAATGGACAAACACAGTGTCTCCAACTGCTGAATCAAAAGAAAAGTTTAACTGTGGGAGGCAGTTTGCACACAATGCAAACTGGTTTCTCAGTTTGCTTCCTTCTAGTTTTTACTGTGGGATACTCACTTTTTTGCTATTGGCCTCAATGTGCTCCCAAATGTCCATTGGCAGAATGGACAAAAACAGTATTTCCAAACTGCTGAATCTAAAGAAAGGTTTTACACTGTGAGATGAATGCACACCTCACAAAGCAGTTTCTCAGAAAACTTCTTTCTAGTTTTCAACTGAACGTATTTTCTTTTTCACCATAGACCTCAATGCACTCCAAAATACCCCTTCCCAGATTGTACAAAAACAGTGTTTCCAAAGTGATGTATCAAAAGAAAGGTTTAACTGTGGGAGATGAATGGACACATCACAAAGTGGTTTCTAAGACAGCTTCCTTCCACTATTTATCCTGGGATAATTGCTTTTTCGCTATTGGACTGAATGAGCACTCAGATATCCATTCGCACAATGGACAATCACGGTGTTTCCAAACAGCTGAATCAAAAGAAAGGTTTTTCTCTGTTAGATGAATGCACACATCACAAAACGGTTTCTCAGACTGCTTTATTGTAGTTTTTATCATGGGATATTCAATATTTTGATGTTGGCCTCAATGAGTTCCCAAATGTCCGTTCACAGAATGGACAAAAACAGTGTTTCAAAACAGCTGAATCAAAGAAAGTTTAACTCTGTGAGATGAATGCACATATCAGAAAGCAGTTTCTCAGAAAGCTTCTTCTAGTTTTTATCTGAATTTACTTTATTTTCACCATAGACCTCAAGGTGCTCCCAAATATCCCTTTGCAGATTATACAAAAACAGTGTTTCCAAACTGCTGAATGGAAAAAAAAAAGGTTTAACTCTGTGGGATGAACGTACCCTTTGTGAAGCGGTGTCTCAGATATATTTCTTCTAGTTTTTTTCCTGGGATGTTCACTTTTTTGCCATTGGCCTCACCGAGATCCCAGTGTTCATATGCAGAATTGACAAAAAGAGTGTTTCCAAACTGCTGAATCAAAAGAATGGTTTAACTCTATGAGATGAATGCAAACTTCACAAAGCAGTTTCTCAGAAAGCTTCCTTCTAGTTTTTATCTGAAGATATTTTCTTTTTCACCATAGTCCTCAATGAGCTTCCAAATATCAAATT
Source organism: Homo sapiens (assembly GCF_000001405.40). NCBI lineage: Eukaryota > Metazoa > Chordata > Mammalia > Primates > Hominidae > Homo > Homo sapiens. Next base: position 338,732 of record NT_187383.1, read on the forward strand.
GCATATTCTTTAAAAACAGTGTTTCCAAACTGCTGAATGAATAGAAAGGTTTAGCTCTGTGAGGTGAATCCACACATGACAAAGTGGATTCTCAGATAGCTTCCTTCTATTTTTTATCATGGGAGATTTTATTTCTGACCATTGGCTTCAATGATCTCCCAAATGTCCATTCACAGAATGGACAAAATCAGTTTTTCCAAACTACTGAATCAAAAGAAAGGTTTAGCTCTCTGAGAGGAATGCACACATCACAAAGCAGTTTCTCAGAAAACTTCTTTCTGGTTTTTTTCTGAAGACATTTTCTTTTTCACAATAGGTCTCAATGCACTCCCAAATATCCCATCACAGATTTTTTAAAAATAGTGTTCCAACTGCTGAAAGAATAGAAAGGTTTAACTCTGTGAGATGAAGGTACACATGACAAAGCAGATTCTCAGACAGCTTCCTTCGAGATTTTATCCTGGGATATTTGCTTTTTCACAATTGGCCTCAATGAGCTCCCAAATGTCCATTTACCCAACGGAGAAATACAGTTTCCAAACTGCCGAATCAAAAGAAAGGTTTAAATTTGTGAGATGAATGCGCACCTCCCAAAGCAGTTTTTCAGAAAGCTTCTTTCTAGTTTTCATCTGAAGATATTTTCTTTTTCACCATAGGCCTCAATACTCTCCCAAATATCCCTTCACAGATTCTACAGAAACAGTGTTTCCAAACTGCTGAATGAAAAGAATGGCTTCACTCTGTGAGACTAATGCAGACATCACAAAGCAGTTTCTGAGATAGCTTCCTTGTAGTTTTGATCCAAGCATATTCATTATTTCCATTGGCCTCAATGAGCTCCCAAATATACATTCACAGAAATGGACAAAAACAGTGTTTACAAATTTTTGTATGTAAAGAGAGGTGTAACCGTGTGAGAGGAATTTATACATAACAAAGCAGTTTCTCAGAAAGCTTCTTTCTGGTTTTTATCTGAAGATATTTCTTTTTTCACCATAGTCCTCAATGCACTTCTAAAAGTCCCTTTGCAGATTCTAAAATATACTGTTTCAAAACTGCTCACTGAAAAGAAAGGTTTAACTCTGAGGGATGAATGCACATATCACAAAGTGGTTTCTAGATAGCTTCCTTCTAGTTTTTATCCTGGGATATTTTCTTTTTCACCATTGGCATCAAAAAGCTCCCAAATATCCATTCACAGAAGGAACAAAAACAGTATTTCCAAACTGCTGAATCAAAAGAAATTTTTATTTCTGAGAGTTGAATGCACACATGACAAAGCAGTTTCTCAGAAATCTTCTTTATTGTTTTTATGTGAAGATATTTTATTTTTCACCATAGGACTCAATGCTCTCCCAGATAGCCCTTTGCAGATCCAGAAAAGCATTGTTTCCAAATTGTTGAATGAAAATAATGGTTTAATTCTGTGAGATGAATGAACCAATCACAAAGTGGTTTCTCAGATAGCTTCCTTCTAGTTTTCATTCTGGGATGTTCACTTTTTTCAACGTAGGCTTCAATGCAACCCCAAATACCCCTGTGCAGATTCCACCATTCTCGTGCAGAAACCATCATTCTCAGCCAACTATCACAAGGACAGAAAACCAAACACTGCATGTTCTCACTCATAGGTGCGAATTGAACCATGAGAACGCTTGGACACAGGAAGGGAAACATCACACACCAGGGCCTGTCATGGGGACGGTGGAGGGGGCAGGGATAGCATTAGGAGATATACTTAATATAAATGATGATTTAACGGGTGCACACACCAACATGGCACATGTATACATATGTAACAAACCTGCACATTGTGCACTTGTGCCCTAGATCTTAAAGTAAAATTTAAAAAGAGAACAGAAAGGTTTAATTCTCTGAGATGAATGCACACATCTCAAAGTGGTTTCTCAGACATCTTCCTTCTAGTGTGTATCCTTTGATATGTGCTTTTTTGCCATTGGCTTCAATGCGCTCCCAAATGTCCATTGACAGAAAGGAAAAAGTGGTGTTTCCAAACTGCTGAATGAAAAAAAAGTTTAATTTTGTGAGATGACTGCATACATCACAAAGAGGATTCTAAGATAGTTTCCTTCTAGTTTTTTCTGGGGATATTTTCTTATTTGCCATCGGCCTCCATGAGCACCCAAATGTCCATTTGCAGAATGGAGAAAAACAGTGTTTCCAAACTGCTGAATCAAATGAAAGGTTTAACTCTGTAAGACAATTTATGTGCACACATCAGAAAGCAGTTTCTCAGAAATCCTCTTTCTAGTTTTTAATCTGAATTTATTTTCTTTTTCACCATAGGCTTGAATGTGCTCCCATATGTCCCTTTGCAGTTACTACAAAAACAGTGTTTCCAAACAGCTGAATGAAAATGAAAGTTTAACTCTGTGAGATGAATCCAAACATTGCAATGTGGTTTCTCAGATAGCTTCCTTCTAGTTTTTATTTAGGGATATTTGCTTTTTTGTCATTAGCCTCAATAAGCTCCAAAAAGTCCATTCAAAGAATAGGCAAAAATAGTGTTTCTAAACTGCTGAGTGAGAATGGTTTAACTCTGTGAGATGAATGCACACATCACAGAGGAGTTTCTCAGGAAGTTTAGTTCCAGTTTTTACCTGAAGATATTTTCTTTTTCACCATAGGCCTCAATGTGCTCCCAAATATCCCTTCACAGATTCTAGATAAACAGTGTTTCCATAATGCTGAATGAAAAGAAAGGTTTAACTCTGTGAGATGAAGGCACACATCAAAAATCAGTTTCTCAGAAAGCTTCTTTCTAGTTTTTACATAAAGGTATTTTCTTTTTCACCATAGGCTCCCAAATATACCTGTGCAAGTTTTACAAAAACAGTGTTTGCCAACTGCTGAATGAAAAGAAAGTTTAACTCTGAGAGATGAATGCACACATCTCAAAGTGGTTTCTCAGATAGTTTTCTTCTAATTTCTATCTTGGGATATTTGCTTTTTTTGCCATTGACCTCAATGAGCTCTCAAATACCCATTCACAGAATGGACAAAAAAACAGTGTTACAAATTGCTAAGTCAAAAGAAATGTCTAACTCTGTGAGTTGAATGGACAAATCACAAAGCAGTTTCTCAGAAAGCTTCTTTCTACTATTTATATGAATACAGTCTCTTTTTCACCATAGCCTCAATGCACTCCCAAGTAACCCTTTGCAGATTCTTCAAAAACAGTTTTTCCAAACTCCTGAATGAAAAGAAAAGTTAAAATCTGTGAGGCAAATGCACACATCACAAAGGAGTTTCTCAGAAACTTTCTTTATTTTTGTTGTGTGAAGATATTTTCTTTTTCAACATAGGCCTGTATGCCCTCCCAAGTATCACTTTGAAGATTCTACAAAACAGCCTTTCAAAACTGCTGAATGAAAAGAAAGGTTTATCTGTGTGAGATGAATGTGCACACCACAAAGGGGTTTCTCAGATAGCTTCATTCTATTTTTTATCCTGGGATATTCGTTTTTTCACCAGTGGCCTCAAAGATCTCCAAAATGTCCATTCAAAGAATGGGCAAAAACAGGGTTTCCCAATTGCTCAGTAAAAAGGAAGTTTTAACTCTGTGAGATGAATGCACACATCACAAAGCAGTTTCTCAGATAGCTTCCTTCTAGTTTTTATCTGAAGATATTTTCCTTTGCAACATAGGCCTCAATATGCTCCCATATATTCTTTGGCATATTCTACATAAACAGTGTTTCCAAACTGCTGAATGAAAAGAAAAGTTTAACTCTTTGAGGTTAATGCACACAACACAAAGTGGGTTTTTAGACAGCTTCATTCTAATTTTTTTCCTGAGATATTCAGTTTTTCACCACTGGCTTCAATGAGATTCAAAATGTCCATTCACAGAATGGACAAAAACAGAATTTTTAAACTGCTGAACTGAAAGAAAGTGAAACTCTATGAGATGAATGCACACATCACCAAGCAGTTTCTCATAAAGCTTCTTTCTAATTTTTATCTGAAGATATTTTCCTTTTCACCATAGGCCTCAATGTGCTCCCAAATATCCCTTTCCTGATTCTTCAAAAATAGGGTTTTTAAAATGCTGAATGAAAAGAAAGGTTTATCTCTGCAAAATGAAGGCACACATCACAATGCCTTTTCTCTGATATCTTCTTTCTTGTTTTTATCCAGGGGTATTCACTTTTCTGCTATTGGCCTCCATGAGCTCCCAAATGTTCATTCACAGAATGGACAAAAACAGTGTTTCCAAACTCCTGAAGGAAAAGAAAGGTTTAAATCTGCGAGATGAATGCACACATCAAAAAACCGTTTCTGAGACAGCTTCCTTCTAGTTTTTATCCTAGGATATGCTTTTTCACCACTGGCCTCGAACTCCCAAATGTCAATTTGCAGAATGGACAAAAACTGTGTTTTGAAACCACTGAATCAAAAGAAAGTGGTAACTCCGTGAGATGAATGCATGCATCAAAATGCTGCTTCTCAGAAAGCTTCTTTCTAGTTTCTATCTGAAGATATTTTCAACCTAGGTCTATATGGGCTCCCAAATATCCCTTCGCAGATTCTTTAAAACAGCGTTTCCAAACTGCTCAAAGAAAAGAAAGGTTTAACGCTGCATGTTGAATGCACACATCACAATGCAGTTTCTCAGACAGCTTTCTTCTAATTTTTATTCTGGGATATTCACTTTTTTTTGCTTTTGTCCTGAATGAGCTCCCAAACGTCCATTTGCAGAATTGACAAAAACAGTTATTCCAAACTGCTGAATCAACAGAAAGTTTTAACTCTGTGAGATGAATGCACACATCACAAAGCAGTTTCTCAGAAAGCTTCTTTCCAGTTTTTATCTGAAGATATTTTCTTCTTCACCTTAGGCCTCAATGTACACACAAATAGTCCTGCACAGATTCTACAACAGTGTTTCAAAACTGCAGCATGAAAAACAAAGGTTTAAATCTGTGGGACAAATGCACACATCACAATGTGGTTTCTCAGATAGATTTATTCTAGTTTTTATCCTGGGATATTAGCTTTTTCACCACTAGCCTCAATGAGCTTCCAAATGACCATTCATAGAAAGGATGAAAACAGTGTTTCCAAAGTGCTGAATCAAAAGAAAGGTTTAACTCTGTGAGACGAATGCACACATCACAAAGTGGTTTCTCAGAAAGGTTCCTTCTAGTTTTTATCTGAAGATATTTTCTTTTTCACCATAGGGTGCAACATACTCTCAAATATCCCTTCACCAATCGTACAAACACAGTGTTTCCAAAATGCTGAATGAAAAGAAAGGTTTAACTTTGTGAGGTGAATGCACACATGACAAAATAGTTTCTCAGATAGCTTTCTTGTAGTTTTTAACCTGGGATATTCCCCTTTTTCCATTTTCCTCAATGAGCTCCCAATTGTCCATTTGCACATTGGACAAAAAATGTGTTCCCAAACTGCTGAATCAAAAGTATGGTTTAACTCTGACCTGAATGTACACATCACAAAGTTATTTATCAGGTAGTTTCCTTCTAGTTTATATCCTGGGATATTTGCTTTTCCACCACGGGCTTCAATGAGCTTGCAAATTTCCATTCCCAGAAGGGACAAAAACAGTGTTTCCAAACTGCTGTATGAAAAGGAAAGGTAAAGTCTGTAAGATGAATGCACACGTCACAAAGCAGTTTCTCAGAAAGCTTCTTTCTAGTTTTTATGTGAAGATGATTTCTGTTTCACCATAGGCCTCAAAGTGCTCCCAAATATCCCTTTGCAGATAACTGCTGATTTAAAAGAAAGATTTAACTTTGCAAGATGATTGCACACATCACAAAGCAGTTTCTCAGATAGATTTTTTTTAGTTTTTATCCAGGGATATTCACTTTTTCACAATTGGTCTCAATGAGATTCCAAATGTCCATTCACAGAATGGACAAAAACAGTGTTTCCAAACTACTCTATCAAAAGAGAGGTTTAGCTGTGAGAGGAATGTACACCTGTCAAAGCAGTTTCTCAGAAAGCTTCTTTCTAGTTTTTATCTGTATTTTCTTTTTCACCATAGTCTCAAAATTCTCCCAAATATGCCTTCGCATATTCTACAAAATCATTGTTTCCAAACTGCTTAATGAAAAAAAAGTTTAACTTTGCGAGGTGAATGCATACGTAACAAAGTATTTTCTCAGATAGTTTCCTTCTAGTTTTTGTGTCTGGATATTTGCTTTTTCTCCAGTGGCCTCTATGATCTCCCAAATGTCCACTCACAGAAAAGACAAACTGGTGTTTCCAAACTGCTGCATCAATGGAAAGTTTATCTCTGTGAGATGAATGCACACATCAAAAAGCAGTTTCTCAGAAAGCTTCCTTCTACTTTTTATCTGAAGATATTTTCTTTTTCACCATTGGCCTCAATGCACTCCAAAATATCCCTTTGCTGATTTGACAAAAACAGCATTTCCAAACTACTGAATGAAAATAAAGGTTTAACACTGTAAAATGAATGCACACTTCATAATGCCATTTCTCAGATAATTTCTTTCTAGTTTTTTTCCTCGGATGTTTGCTTTTTTGCCTTAGCTCTCAATGCCCTCCCAAATATCTCTTTGCAGATTCTACAAAAACAGTGTTTCCAAACTGATGAATGAAAAGAAAGGTTTAATTCCGTGAGATAAATGCAGACATCACATAACGGTTTCACAATAGCTTCGTAGTAGTTTTTATCCTCAGATATTCACTTTTTCACCTTTGGACTCAATGAGCTCCTAAATGTCCATTCACAGAATGCACAAAAAAGTGTCTCCAAACTGCTGAATCAAGAGTAAGTTTTCACTCAGTGAGATGAATGCACACATCACAAAGCAGTTTCTCAGAAAGCTTCTTTTCGTTTTTATCTGAATATATTTTCTTTTTCACCCTAGGCCTCAACGTACACCCTAATATTACTTGGCAGATTCAACAAAAACAGTGTTTCCAAACTTCTGAATGAAAAGAAAGATTTAACTCTGAGAGACGAATGCTGACTTCACAAAGGGGTTTCTCAGATAATATCCTTCCAGTTTTCTTCCTGGGGTATACAGTTTTTCACAAATGGCATCAGTGAGTTCCCTAATGTCCATTCCCAGAATGTACAAAAACAGTGTTTCCAAACTGCTGAATCAAAGGAAAGGTTTAACCCTGTGAGAGGAATGCACACCTCTTTAAGCAGTTTCTCAGGAAACTTCTTTCTAATTTTTATCTGAAGATATTTCCTTTTTCACCACAGGCCTCAATGCACTCGCAAATATCCCTTCACAGATTCTACAAAAACAGCATTCCCAAACTGCTGACTGAAAAGGAAAGTTTACCTCTGCCAGGTGAATGCACACATCGAAAAGCGGTTTCTCAGACAGCTTCACTCTTGTTTTTATCCTGGGATATTCGCTTTTTTGCCATTGGCCCCAATGAGCTCCAAAATGTCCTTTCACAGGAAGAACAAAAGCAGTGTTTCCAAACTGCTGAATAAAAGAAGGGTTTAAATCAGTGAGATGAATGCACACATCACAAAGCAGTTTCTCAGATAGCTTCCTTCTAGTTTTTATGCTGGGGTATTTTATTTTTCACCATTGGCCTCAATGAGCTCAAAAATGGCTATTTCCAGAATGGACAAACACAGTGTTTCCAAAATCCGGAATCAAAAGAAAGGTTTAACTCTGTGAGATGAATGCACACGTCACAAAGCAGCTTCTCCAAAAGCTTCTTTCTAGCTTTTATCTGAAGATATTTTCTTTTTCACCATAGGCCTCAATGCACTCCCAAATATCCCTTTGCAGATTCTACAAGAAAAGTGTTTCTATACTGCTGAATGAAAAGAAGGGTTTAACTCTGTGAGATGAATGCACACATCACAAAGCGGTTTCTCAGATACCTTGTTTCTTGTATTTATCCTGGGATAATTGCTTTTTTGCCATTGACCACAATGAGCTCCCAAATGTCCATTTGCAAAATGGACAAAAACACTGTTTTAAACCCCTGAATGAAAGCAAAGTTTTAACTCTGACAGATGAATGCACACATAGCAAAGCGGTTTTGCAGATAGCTTCCTTCTAGTATTTATCCTGGGATTTTTTTTTTTTTTTTTGCCTTTGCCCTTAATGAGCTCTCAAATGTCCATTCGCAGAATGGACATAAACAGTGCTCTCAAACTGCTGAATCTAAATAAAGTTTTAACATTTCGAGATGAATGCACACATCACAAAGCAGTTTCTCAGAAAGATTCTTTCTAGTTTTTATCTAAAGATATTTTCTTTTTCACAGTAGATCTCAGTGCACTTCCAAATAGCCCTTCAGAGAATCTACAAAATCAGAGTTTCCAAACTGCTGAATGAAAAGAAATGTTTAAATTTGTGTGATGAATGCACACATCACAAAACCATTTCTCAGATAGTTTCATTCTAATTTTTACACTGGGATATTCTCTTTTTCACCATTGGCCTCAATGAGCTCCAAAATGTTCATTTGCAGAATGGACAAAAACAGTGTTTCCAAACTGCTGAATCAAAAGAAAGGTTTCAGTCTGCAAGATGAATACACACATCACAAAGCAGTTTCTCAAAAAGTTTCTTTCTAGTTTTAATCTGAAGATACTTACTTTTACCCCTTAGGCCTCAATGTGCTCTCAAATATCAATTTGCAGATTCTACAAAAACAGTGTTTCCAAACTGCTGTATGAAAATAAAGGTTTCACTCTGTGAGTTGAATGCACACATCACAAAGTGGTTTCTCAGATAGCTTCCTTCTAGTTTTCATCCTTGGATATTTGCTTTTTTGCCATTGGTCTCAATGATCTCCCAAATGTCTATTCGCAGAATGCAGAAAAACAGTGTTTTGAAAGTGCTAAATCAAAAGTAAGGTTTAACTTTGTCAGGTGAATGCACACATCACAAAGCAGTTTCTCAGAGAGCTTCTTTCTACTTTTTATCTGAAGATATTTTCTTTTTCACATAGGCATCAAGGCGCTCCCAAATATCCCTTCACACATTCTACAACAAAAGTGTTTCCAAACTGCTGTGTTACAAGAAAGGTATAACACTGCAAGATGAATGGACACATCACAGAGCAGTTTTTCAGTTGGTTTCTTTCTACTTTTTATCCTGGGCTATTTGCCTTTTTGTCATTGTCCTCGAAAAGTTCCCAAATGTCCTTTCTCTGAATAGGCCATTGAAGCAAGCAATTAGCCTTATGAGGAAAGAGTTACCTGTGGATAAAGGAGAAACTGAAAAATTCACAAGTCAAGACTTTTTGAGCAAAAACAAAAATATGACTATTAGTCACCAATTCAGTACAGTGAAAAAAAAGTTGAAGAGATATCTTGGAAGTAAACCATGTTGTGGAAGAGCATGTAGGGTTTTGATAATCATGGGATGATTCTGAATTAATTTTAAATGCGATAGGAATATATGAGACAATTTCACCAGAGAATAACATGATTGTGTTTGCATTTCAAAGGGGTGTATCTGGTGCACTGTGTAGAATAAATAGGTTATGTGAGCAAATAAATTGGGAGGCTACCGTAATCCCAAGAAAAAAGGTAGTGACTTAGGTGAGAATGCTGTCAGGATGAGTGGTAGTAGTGGTGAGGAGTCGTTAGGCCATGGATGTATTTCATAGGACTGGCCAAGAGAACTGCAGCTAAATTGGAGTGTAGGGAGTGAAATGGAGAACTCAAAGACGGCTCTCAGCAGTGGAAGGTGACAGCTGTCACTGAAGCATGCTGATGCCTCTCATTAAGAGAGTTACTTGGGAATGGCAAGATCAAAATTTCTCACTTTCAAATTTATGAAAAATATTGTTTTCAGAACGAATGATTTTGGGATCAGAAAGCCACCATTCTAATTGATGGTTCCACGACTGCACAGGCTCACACTCCCAAGAGCAAAAGTAAATCATCATAAAGGTGCTTCCTGATAATTCTAGAGAATGGAGAATTACTGTAACATCTTTCTGATTTTAGGAGAGGTAGCAGTTCCCTTTTTAGCCTAAACGCTATTTTTTTTAAAGCTCAGCCAAGAGACTCCATTATAATTTTCAAATGTGTGTAACTTAAATTCTCATATGAAATACCACTATGCTTAAATTAGTCAAAACATTTTTCCCATCTACAACTCTATCTTGTCATTGCAATCATTTTCACAAAAGTGACTGCAGCTCACAGACCCTAAAAGGAGAAAATCCAGGGTAGGTTATCTGATCTAGTTAGTTTCGAAGACAGGATCTAGAGATTATTTAATATGAAATAGGTCACCTGAAATGAAGTGTTTACTGAAAACAGCTTGGATCAGCCCAGTTTTCTACCACTGAACCATGCATTTGGTTTAAAAAACACAACAACTCTGGGGAATATCAGCTGCTTCCAACTGTGTTGAAGGTGTTAAAGAAAAGAGCATAAAATTAAAAATGGTCATCTGAGGCCTTTATAGTCTCTGCTCAAGAGACTAGAGTCTTCCATTCTTAATGAAACACCCTAATATCTTAATAATTGGGCAAAATCTAAATATCAGAGATAATTTTATCTTGAAGATTGTTAAATTATAATGGCGATTCACTACCTTGTCACGTCTCTGAGTCAAAAATTAGGTCTTTGTTTAGGAATCAATGGTACTCTGCAACTTGGAAATAGGAAGATTTTAGAAGACTCAAACATTGACTTTCTTGTGGGCAAAAAAAAGACGTATTGAGATAAGACAAGTCTTTCCTTGCAAGGATACCTCTAATGCTCATACACCACCTCCCCTAACATTAATATAGCTTCCAGGTCACTAACCAGTGTCAGAGAGCAGCCCATGCAACTAGAAATTCAAAAGACGTCAAACACAGGGTCAAGCCTAGAATAAGAAGTCTTAGCTAATTAAGTATGCTTTTTTCCCCAAATTCATATTAACAAAAACTTGGATATGTCAGAGAATGCATTCTAAGTTCACTCAACCTAGGAGGGAGAAGCATAATTTTAAATTAAGAGCTGAAGCATTCTTGTCCTAACAGAAAGCAAGGAAAATGAAATATCACACCACAGGAGGGATTTCACAAATTAGTGTCAACATCAAAACCTTAAAATAGGCAAGGAGAATGCAGATTCACAATGAACTCTTGTACTTGTTTTGTTCAGAGAAGAGATGGTTCTGAGAGAATGACAGTGAACTAACCCCAGCTGGTTTAGTTGGTGCTTTCAACTGCTGCTTCTGATAAACTCCTTTAGCTAGAATAAATTGATGAGGATTTTGGCATGTGGTATTAGAGATGGTTATTAATTTTTTCCTCTTATTTGCATTGTTCATTGTAGTAAATACTAGCTGTATATGGCTACTTCAATTCAAATTAATTACAATGAAATATACTTAAATATTGAATTTTTTAGTCACTGTTGGTTCATTATTGAATATCTTCAGCTAAGATTTCCCTTTAAATACACTAAGAGGTGGCTTAGTTAACTCGTCGTCCACAAATATTGAAGCTGTTGTTAACTCCTGATATATTCTCTGCAAAGAGAATATTCATGAGCCTCCTCCTGAAGCCAGCAGCCTAGAGATAGTTTTATAAATTGGATACAAGTTGGAAACCTATACTCTTTAAGTTTTTGAAATATTAGCTTCCCAGGGAAGAAAATCAAATTCATAAGATATGTTAGGACAATTTAACTCAAGATGTTCAAAACTGAAATGACATATTCTACAATATGTGATAAAACCACCCCCTAATACCTTAAAGCAAAACAGGGATGGACCTTAAAGACCTGCCTTTTCCTCATCCCCCAGCCAATCAGTTTTCAAATCTTGCATTTTATTTTGAAAGGTCCTTATCCCCCTGGTCTCTTGTTTCTAGACTTGGCACATATTTAAGTTTGTTACCTCTATCTACTGAATTTTCTCTCTTCAAACAGTATCTATGCCTGCCAAATGTGAACATACAAACAACAAATCAGAATGTGCCATTCTGATTTAAACTGCTTATTAGTTAATACCCTCAAGATAACATCTGGGTTCTTAGCTGCAATGAGTCAAGCTTACTTACATCTTTTTTTGTCTTTGGCTGCACATTTCCTATCACATCACACTCCAGCAACGCCAAGCTGTGCCGGCCTTCTACCCCATCTCCACTATTTTGCCCTCCGCTGCCGCGGCTTTTTGCCCGCCCTGGCTTTTTGCCCCCACCCGCCGCCGCGGCTTTTGGCCCCCCACACCGCCGCGGCTCTTTACCCGCCGCAGCTTTTTGCCTCCACCCCGCCTCAGCTTTTTGCCCGCCAAGGCTTTTTGCCTCGCCGCGGCTTTTTGCCCTCCACCCCGCCGACGCGGCTTTTTACCGCCGCGGCTTTTTGCCCGCCGCGGCTTTTTGCTCCCGCCGCCGCGGCTTTTTGCCCCTGCCGCCGCGGATTTTTGCTGCTGCGGCTTTTTGCTCCCGCCACCTTTGCAACCTTAATTTCACTTGAAATCTAATTTCCCACTGCCATGCCATCTAACATATTTGTATGTTAGACTCTGGGAATTAGGACATGAACATTTTTGGGGGGCCACTATTTTGTCTACAGCAGACAGAATCTACACTGCCTGGGAGGCGCAGAGTATCTTGGGGGAGGCAGGGCTGGCCCTTCCCTCCGTGGACACCCAGCTTTCCCACAGGCCCTACATGTCTGTGGGTTCCCTGCGTGACCAGGTGACCTACCCGGACTCAGTGGAGGACATGCGAAGGAAGGGCTACTCAGAGCAGGACCTGGAAGCCATCCTGGACATCATGCACCTGCACTACATCCTGCAGCGGGAGGGAGGTAGGAGGCCTGGGGCTAGCAGCCGCCCTTTGTCCCACCCTGGCCTCTCCCTTGGCCTCCAGGCAGTGAAGATTATCTCAACATCCAGGAGTCTAAAGTGCCAGGTGCCACAGGGGCAGGGCAGAGGGTGCTACCTCTGAGGCCCGCCTACCAGGGAGGACCAACACCACACAGATGGCCCCAGCTGGCATGGGTGCTCTAGGGAAGGGGGCACCTAGCAGGGATGCGCACCTCATTGGGGGACCCAGGATACCCTCTCCCAGAGAAAAGGGGTCTGAGCTGAGCCCTGCAGAATGCTGAGTGGTTACCCCGTCCAGGAGCCAGGGGCAGCAGGGCAGAGTGCGGCCCGCAGGCTTGGTGGTGTGAGAGGCTGGCTCACAGAGGGCCCTCCGGACCAGGCGGGAGCCTAGGCTTTCCCTGAGCGGGATCAGACGCTCTTGGAAAGACCATGGGGCGGTGGGCAGGGGCAGCTTGGGAGGGGTAGGCACATGTGTGCAGTGATGGCTACCGTCAGGAGGTCTGTGCAGAAGCTTGGAGGGGGCTGGGGCCAGCAGAGTCGGGTGGATTCAGAGATGAGTTCACTGAAAAGGAGGCCAGCCTGAGCTGTTTTCTTGTCCTGGGCTTATCAAGGAATACTGCTTGTCCACAGTGTCTGTCGGGCCGGGAGAACGGAGGAGGAGAGGGGGGTGCAGCTACAGGGACACAGTAGATGGAGCGTTCAGTTCTGTCTTTGAATTCTGAGCCTCTGGGTTCTGCTTCCAGCCCCCACTGCTGGGTGTGAGATGGCCCTGGGCAAGGACCTCGCCTTGCTGGGGCTCCCCTTCATGGTTCAAGGGCATGGGCACCAAGCCCTCCCTCGGTGGCAACATGAGAAGAAGTGGCTCCTGCAGGAAATGACCAGGGTGTTGTCACCTGCCTGTGGAGGAAGCGGGAACACAGGTGGCGATGGTGGTGGAACAGCCCCTGGCCCGGCCCTGCCTCTTGCTCCTGCTGCCTTCGGCCTGGGAGCACATGGCCCCTCCCGCCTCTGTGGCAGCCTGAATGCCCAGGGCCTGTGGCCGGCCAGCATGAGCCGTTAGGATGGAGTTGAGCTGCGAGGAACAGAACCGGCCTCCCTGCAGTAGTGGCTAAGATCATCTGTGAGTTTATCCTACTGAGCTGTTAGGTCCCAAGAGAGCCAGGCCACAGTTGCCAGGGCTGGCCCTGCTCTGTGAAGGCCCCAAGGCTCTAGGATTTTCTACCATGTCACTCTGCTGTGTGTGGCCTCCATTCCCAAAGTCACCTCATGATCCAAGAGGGCTGCTGCAGCCCTCACATCATGTCCCAGGCTATAGGATGGAGGAAGTAGAAGGGAAGGGGCAAAAGGTATGTGCCTTCTATCTTTTAAGGAAGGTTCCAGAAGCCGCCATATTGAATAGTTACGGTTATATCTCATTGGCCACAACTTAGTCTCATGCTTACACCTCACCACAAGGCCACCTGGGAAGTGTAATCTCTACTCTGGGTGGCCATATACCCTGTCGCCACTTCTAGCCCTGGGCTGCTGGGGAAGGCAGCATGGGTGAGAAGACAGGAGGGGCTACTTCTGACACAGCGCCCCGGCCTAATGGAGCAGCCAGCTCACCTGCTCGTTCAAGCAGCCCACTCGAGCCTTGCCAAAGTGCTGGCACGGGGCAGTGACAGGAGGCCCAACCCCTGTGGGTGACAAGCCCCCGGTCTGGGGAGAGCACTCAGGCCGCTCTGGAGCTCTGTGCCAAGAAACTGTATGGGTGTCCTGGGGCTGCCATAAACCACAGGGGTGGATCATCTCCTGGATCCAGCAGCCCGAGATCCTGGTACTAGCAGGGTGGGTTCCTTCCAGGTGCCATGACAGAAGGATGTGTTCCAGGCCTCTGTCCTTGGCTCGCAGATGGTCCACTTCTCCCTGTGTATCTTCACCTCGTGTTCCCCTGTGCACGTCCTCTGCCCGCACACCCCCTTTTTATGAGGACATAGTCATATTGAATTAGGGTCTGCTCTGATGACCTCATCTTAGTGTGATCACCTCTGCGAAGGCCCTGTCTCCAAATAAGGTCACACTGAAGTGTTGGGGCTTGGACTCCACCATATCTCTTCTAGGGGAAGGCACAATTCCAGTCCCCACTCCTCCATGATTAATGTCTGTCAGACAGACAAGGGCGCATAGGCACAGGGGCCCTGTCGTCACAGCTAGCTCATTCCCACAGCTGCCCCAGCTCCCCGGCTGGCCCCCAGGTCTGGGTACTGGTGGAACTGAGCCAAGACCATTGCCCCTGCCTAGGTTAGGAGGCTATGTGTGACTGGAAGGACGTCCCGCCGGGTGGCGAGAAGCAGAGAATCGGCATGGCCCGCATGTTCTACCACAGGTGAGCACTCCAGGCCGGCAGGCTCCCTGGGGTCCCCTGGAAGGAGAAGTAGCAGCTGTGGGGAGGCCTGGGCTCAGTGAAGCCTGAGCCAGGCTGGGGTGTTGGGCCCTGGAGGATGCACAGACTCTCCTCTCGGCCCAGACCCCCAGGCCCAAGTACACCCTCCTGGATGAATGCACCAGTGCCGCCATGAGAATCAACGTGGAAGGCAAGATCTTCCAGGCGGCCAAGGACGCAGGCATTGCCCTGCTCTCCATCACCCACCGGCCCTCCCTGTGGTAGGTGCCCTGTCTCCCTGCCTGGGGTCAGTGGGAGTGGCTGCCTGAGGGGAGGAGGTGGCCTGTTGGGCCCGGCGGCAGCAGCAGGCGGCTGTCATCAGCAGCCCTCGTGCCATGCCCCTGACCCTGTCCCTCTCCTGGCCAGGAAGTACCACACACACTTGCTACAGTTCGATGGGGAGGGCGGCTGGAAGTTTGAGAAGCTGGGCTCGGCTGCCCGCCTGAGCCTGACAGAGGAGAAGCAGCGGCTGGAGCAGCAGCTGGCGGGCATTCCCAAGATGCAGCAGCACCTCCAGGAGCTCTGCCAAATCCTGGGCGAGGCCGCGGCCCCAGCGCACGTGCCGGCACCTAGCCCACAAGGCCCTGGTGGCCTCCAGGGTGCCTCCACCTGACACCACTCTCCCCAGCCCCTGCCCCGCCCCCAAGCTCGGATCACATGAAGGAGATAGCAGCACCCACCTGCGCACGCACCCCGCCCCTGCATGCCTGGCCCCTCCTCCTAGAAGACCCTTCCCGACCTCGGGAAAGTAGATGAGGAGGGTGGCGCCCTGCGTAACCCTCGCCCTGTCCCTCCCACTCCCTGGGGGGGGGGCTGTTCCACAGTTACTGGGCCCTGTCCAGGGCAGTGAGTCCTCTACTTTGCTCCGTGGAGGAAGCTGGAGTGCAAGGGGCCCAGTGCTGGCCGCACAGCAGCGCAGCCGAGCCCCAGGAGCCCCTCAGGCCACAGCCCCTGGCGCTGCAGGTGGCATCCCTCCTCGTCAGTCTCTCAAAGACCCCACGATCCATCCCTTGAGGGTGGCCAGCCAAGGCTCCCATCCCATGCGATGCCATAAAAGCCACCCAGTGGTACCCACAGTCACACAGAGCGCCTCACCGGCATCCTCTCCCCCACAAGAGCCCCGAAGATCCCACGGGAGAGGGACGCACAGCACTGCCTGCCAAGCGAGAATGTAGGCCCCGCCCCCTCGGCCCCTCACCTCCTCTTTCTACAGCCTAATTTATTGGATTCCCTATTTGTAGCCATCTCCGTGGCCAATGTGACTACCCTGCCAGCAGCGGGGGCTGCCCAGCCTCTGAGTCCCCTAGGGCCCCGGCTCCCACTGGTGTCAAACCCAGCCCCTGTGGCCGTCACCCCGCCAGCCTACACTGCCAGCCGCCACCTGACCACACGGGCCTCTGCTTGCTAGCCGGGAGTGCGGACACCATGTTCCCAGCTCAGTGCCAAAGAGGGGTCACCAGGCGGAGCTGTCTGCAGAGCCAGCGCCTTCCTGAGAGAGACCCCACCGCCACAGTGTGCCTTTCCCGGGCCCTCAGCCCTCAGGCCGGGCGCCATCCCGAGTCCCCCCCAGTAAAAGCCTCCATTGGCAAATGCAGTCCTTCCTCCCTGCCTCAGAGTCTGGTGGTGTCTGCTGCGGGTCTTGGGGTGAGATGGAGGAGAGGGAGTGGGTTGCCTGTGGGGGAAAGAGTGAGTTTGGGAAAGGAGTGGGCCTGATCCCCAAGCCCTTCCGTGGGGGAAAGTCACCAGAAGACATGGCCCAACATGCCCTCCACCGAGCCTCACGCCAATGTTCTTAGGATTCCTGTGACGGTGGCGGGGCAGAACCTGCAACAACATTGCACAGAAATACTGGCTGAGCCCAAATAGGACTAGGGGACGGGATCATGCTGGTCCCTGTGGGAGGAGCACGAAGGCAAGAGAAAGGATGTCTAAGCTGCCACACAGGGTGCTGCTGGCCCTTCTAGGGAGAGGAGGCCACTTGTGCAGGGGCCTGGGGGGAACTGGGAGCACATTGCAGGGTGTTCGTGCTGCATGCAGGGGAAGGGAGGGCAGGGGAAGGGAGGGCTGCAGCTGGCGGGCCTTGGAGGCCACACTACAGAGACAGGACTTAGCCCAGAGGCCACCGAGGAGCTTTCAGCAACAGGGAAGCAGTGTCGAGTACTGCAGGCCACTTGGCTGCATGTGAGGGTGGCTGGTGGGAATAGGGTGTGGCAGCCCATCTGGCCTCAGAGGCATGAGAACTGAGAACAGCTGTGCGGCCATACCTTTATGCATGGATGGCCATAGCCTCCCAAAGGTGGGACAGCCTGAGTATTCATCAACAGACAAATGGACAAACAGCCTGTCCATAAGGCGTGGTGCCATTCCACCATAACACGACGGATAGACCTCAAAGAGTTCGTTCTGGGTGAAAGAAGCCAGACACAAATGTCCAGAATAGGCTCATCGGGACAGAAAGCAGATGAGTGGGTGTCAGAGGCTGGGGCAGGGGAAGGAAAATGGGGCAGGGGCAGTCCTTTTTAAAAAATTTTGTATTTATTTTTTATTTTTTAATGAGACAGACAGGGCCTCACCGTGTCACCCAGGCTGGAATGCAGCGGTGCAGTCATAACTCACTGCAGCCTTGATCTCCCGGGCTCAAGCAATCCTGCCCCAGCCTCCTGAGTAGCTGGAACCACAGGCGTGTGCCACCATACCCTACTAATTTTGTGATTTTTTTTTTTTTGTAGACAGGATCTCACTATGTTGCCCAGGCTGGTCTCAAACTGCTGAGCTCAAGCGATCGTCCTGCCTCAGCCTCCCACAGTGCTGGATTACAGGCATGAGCCACCACACTCAGCCTCGCGTTTCTTTTTATTTCGAAGAAAATGTTCTGGAACTATAGAGCATACTAAATGCCACTGAATTGTGCACTTTAAAGGGATTGATTGTATATTTTGTGAATATCCCCTCAAAAACAGACAGATAGATGATTGATGGATAAATTGATACATAGATATATAGATATATAGACATGATATAGATAATTGATTGATAGATGATGGATGATTCATAGGTGCTAAGTGACAGATAAAATACATGATAGATACATGGATAGATAGATGAATAGAGAGCGATGATAGATGATTTAAAAATTTTTTTTAGAGATGAGATCTCACTATCTTGCCCAGTCTGGACTTGATCTGCTAGCATCAAGCAGTCCTCCTGCCTCAGCCTCCTGAGTTACTGGGACTACAGGCACATGCTACTGTGCCTGGTGATAGATAAATTATTGAAAGATAGACATGATAGAGGCATAAATGATAGATAGATGGATAAACATGATAAAGGGTAGATAGGAAGATACATGGGATAGATCAATGATTGATTATAGAAGTAAATTATATAGATTAATAGATTACTGATTATAGATTAATAGGTGGATAGCTGATTGATAGATGACTGATCGATTGATTGGTTGACTGACTGATGGAGAGAGACAGAGAAGCAAGCTTAGCCATTGCAGCCACCCAGACAAGACATGCTGAGGCCTGGAGTTCCAGAAGGTTTGAGCAGTTGGAAGAACTTGACAGGCATGGGGGCAGCTTCTTCAGGGAGTGGAGGGGGCAGCAAGGTACCACTGGGTTCTGGTTGGAAGGTTAGGTGAGCGACAGCACCCTTGGTGGACAGAGGCAGCTCCAAAGGAGGGGCAGGCCTGGGGAGCAGGTGCAGCCCGAGGGGATGGTGCGTAGGCAGTTGGTTCAGAGCTTGGGGCTCCTCAGTGGGACATGGGTCAGCAGGGAGGCCAGTGGTCATTGAAGTTTGGATGGAGACAGCCTGGCTGAGGGGAGGGGCATGCTTGGCATCTCATTTAGGGGACAGGAGGTAGACTGTTTACCTGTATTTTGAGATTAGGATTTATTCCTGATCCCAGGAGGTGGCTGATTCGGAGGGCTGGGAGTTGTTCTTCCATTTCTTTTGACGATTGTGTAAGTCGCCCATGCTTGGTCATAAGCCCCTTTTGTTTATTTTTGACACATACTTGGAATGGCTCTAATTACTACAGATAGAAGGAGACACATCTGGCAAAGACCATCCAAAAGGAAGCTAGTGGAGAGAAGCTCATATCGCACAAAGTAGGCTCCAGGGCAAAATCATTATTAGGATTAAAAGTGGTTGCAGCATACTGATGAGTATTCATTCCAAAGCATTCACTGGTGGGGGAGGGGTGGGGGAAAAAGAATAAATACATAAATAATTTAATTATTTTAAAAGAAGTATTAGTGGCCAGGCATGGTGGCTCACGCCTGTAATCCCAGCATTTTGGGAGGTCAAGGCAGGCAGATCACCTGAGGTCAGGAGTTCGAGACCAGCCTGAACAACATGGTGAAACCCCATCTCTACTGAAGTACAAAATTAGCCAGGCATGGTGGCTCATGCCTGTAGTCCCAGCTACTAGAGAGGCTGAGGCAGAACTGCTTGAACCTGGGAGGCGAAGGTTGCAGTGAGCCAGGATCATGCCATTACACTCCAGCCTGGGCGACAGGAAAAAAAAAAAATGGAAGCATTAGCCATTCTGATCTTGTGTGTGCCTGCATAACAATAGAGCCTCAAATGACTACAAAACAAAAAAGTGTCAAGAAAAGGAAAAATTAATAAATGAGCACATTCTCTACGCAGGAAATTATACCACTTCTCACTGGAACTGCTCGTTTAAGCAGACTCAATTAGGAAGAATATAGAAAAATTAGGCCAGGCATAGTGTTTCATGCTTGTAATCCCAACACTTTGGGAGGCGAAGGCAGGCAGATTACTTGAGGTCGGGAGTTTGGGACCAGCTTGGCCAACATGCTGAAACTAAAATAAAAAAATACAAAAATGAGCCAGATGTGGTGGCTCATGCCTGTAATCCCAGCTACTTGGGTGGCTGAGGCAGGAGAATCACTTGAACTTGAGGTTTCAGTGAGCTGAGATCGTGCCCCTGCACTCCAGCCTGGGCAACGGAGTGAGACTCTGTCAAAAAATAAAAATAAAAAAAAGAATATGGAAAAGTTGAACAAACTTGATTTAGTGGACACCCAAAAACTACAGACTACACATTGTTTTCAAGTTCACCTTGGACATTTACTAACACTCACCATGTCCTAGGCTGCAAAACAAGACTCAACAAATAGCAAAAGAACTTGCATCACACCAGCCATGTTCTTGATGCAACAGAATAAAGGCATAAATTGGCAACCAAACTAAAATTAAGGGCTCCCCTAGGTTTGGAAATTTAAAGATACACTACTGGCCAGGCACGGTGGCTCACACCTATAATCCCAGAGCTTCGGGAGGCCAAGGCAGGAGGATCCCTTGAGCCCAGGAGTTCCAGACCAGCCTGGGCAACACAGTGAGACCCCCCATCTCTATAAAACTAAATTAAATTATTTTTTAAATTAAAAAAAAATGCACTGGTCCGAGAAGAATTAGAATGAAAATCTAAAAGCATTTAGAACCAAACAATGAAAACTATGTACAAAAGCTTAAGCCATGTAGCCCAAGCAGTACTACAAGGAAACTAAAAAAAAAAAAGTGTGGCCAGGTGCAGTGGCTCACGCCTGTAATTCCAGCACCTTGGGAGGCTAAGGCTAGTGGATCACCTGAGGTCAGGAGCTAGACACCATCCTGGCCAACATGATGAAACCCTATCTCTACTAAAAATACAAAAATTAGCTGGGCATCGTGGTGAGCACCTGTAATCCCAGCTACCTGGGAGGCTGAGGCAGGAGAATTGCTTGAAACTGGAAGGTGGAGGTCGCATTGAGCCGAGATCGTACCGCTGCACTCCAGCCTGGGCGAGAAGAGTGAAACTCCATCTCAAAAAAAAAAGTATAAAAAATAGAAATAATATTATGAAATACAGAGGGATCTCCCTGCAGGCACCACTGGGAGCTGAAACATCAGGGGCACCTGGGGGGCGAAAGACATGAGTGGGAACAACTTCAGCCCTTGCTTCTCCTCCAAACACCACTAAAAGGAATGCAAAGGGATTGCAGATGTAAAAGGGAAGAGTTCACAGCAGAGAGTGAGAGGAGCGCCTGCCAGGAACATCACAGAAGCTGGAAAACAAGTGGGGGAGTGATAACTGATTCAAGGGATCAGCGTGAACTTGGAAAAAAGTGGTGGGAAGCACCAAGGGCACGTGCCCACAGAGAAAAGGCCACGTGAGGCCACCACCCAGAAGAGAGGCCTTGGAAGAAACCAACCTTGCTGGCACCGTGATCCTGGGCTTCCAGCCTGCAGGACTGTCAGACCATTACGGTGTTAGACCGACACTGTAAAGAAAGTAGTGATAACACACATGGTTGTCTCGCTCCAGTTCTAAAAGGGGGAAGGATGCCGGGTGTGGTGTTCTCCAGAAGGCCCTTCCATGTTTCTCTGTGGCACCCGCAGTGCCTGGATGTCAGCACTGGGAGAAACCGCCTCCAGATTCATCTGTAAAATCCGAGCATCAGTGAGCTTAACTCTCCTGCTTTCTCAGCTCTCTGTTTCCATTAGGTTTGGTTGATCTGGGTCAGGGCCAGCATCAGAGGTAAACCCAAAGCTGTTCTCTGTGGACTGACCTCTTCTCCCTTCTCTTACATGTCTGCCATGTCCACTAGCCTGTGAGCTTCAGGAGACAAAGGAGCATGTTTCTTCTTCCTGATACCCCCGAAACTTGCACAGTACATGCTATAAAATGCAGATTCAATGAGGGCTCTTTGCATTACAATTTTGAGAAAGAATCATGAACCATGATTTAGCGTCTCTTCCCATCAAACCCCAGGCCCACAGAGCAATTGCCTTTACCTGTGACACACACCTCCTACCTGTCCTCCCCGCAGCCCGGCATCTCTGTCCTGCAGACCAAACACAAAACTCATTGCCATCACTCTTCAACCTGGCTTCCTTTCTGACTTCCCTTCAGGTGCCCCAGGCAGAACCATGGGGATCATCTGACCCTCTGTCTCCCTCATCCTTCCCTATCCCACCAGCCCATGTCCTACTGACTCAGTCCTTAAAGTCCCTCTCGCTCCCCACCGGATCCTCAGTGTCTGGTAGTACAGTGCCTGACGTGGGAGGTACACAGCGACCACTAGGTGAATACAAGAATGATGTGATTGGCCAGGCACGGTGGCTCACGCCTGTAATCCCAGCACTTTGGGAGGCTGAGGCAGGCGGATCACGAGGTCAGGAGATCGAGGCTATCCTGGCTAACAGGGTGAAACCCCGTATCTACTAAAAATACAATTCTGGTCATGCGCAGGTACTATTCATCAATAAAGGTATTACAACTTCAGAAATGTGTTCAAAATGTATCCATACTTTGACATATTAATGAAGTAATCACTTTCTACACAAAACTACTCCATATGGAATATTGGGGAGGGGGTGTTCCAAATAAAGAGACAGGATTTCTCATGAGAACTCAGTGTCCGCTAGAAAATATCTAAGTAAAATATTTTACTTATGCAGAAAGTGTGGATGTTTGTGCATCAAAAGTTTCAAGAATCCCTAGAATGTACAATGGAGATGAGGAGAAAATATCAGAATTTCCCAGTGCCAGAAATGAGGCAAGAAAAAATTCAGAGGAGTTGTAAATGTGAAAAGCCAATGGCTGGTCACACAGCAACATTGATAACCTTGTGCCAGGACAACTAGAATAAATACATAAACATACAGATTGAAAATATTTCCAATATTAGATCTCCCTCATGTGAGAACTAAATTATAAAGATTGAAGATATAAGAAAATAAGCTACCAGAATTTAGGCTACCAGAATAAATTCGATTACACATCAATTTCTGATATTGAAATTGTCACAAATGTTTAAGTTGGTAGTGGAAGACAAAGGACATATAATCTTGGGAGTCCTAGGTCCCTGCCCACTGCCAGTGCCTCCACACTACTACAGCTGATGCTTTCTGGAAAGCACCACCTCCTAGCAGTAGGCCAACCAGCACAAATATAGAGCATTAAACCACTAAAGCTAAGGACCCTCACAGAATCTACTGCACCCTTCACCACATCCACTGGAACAGGCTCTGGTATCCATGGCTGAGAGACCCATAGATGGTTCACATCACAGGGCTCTATGCAGACAACCCCTAGTACCAGCCGAAAGCCAGGTAGACCTGCTGGGTGGCTAGACCCAGAAGAGAGACAACAATCAATGCACTTCGGCTCACAGGAAGCCATGCCCATAGGAAAAGGGGGAGAGTACTACGTCAAGGGAACACTCCATGCGACCAAAGAGTCTGAACAACAGTCTTCAGCCCTAGACCTTTCCTCTGACAGAGTCTACCAAAATGAGAAGGAACCAGAAAACCAACCCTGGTAATCTGACAAAACAAGACTCTTCAACACCCCCAAAGAATCACACCAGTTCATCACCAATGGAACCAGACAAAGAAGAAATCACTGATTTATCTGAAAAAGAATTCAGGTTAGTTATTAAACTAATCAGGGAGGGGCCAGAGAAAAGTGAAGCCCAATGCAAGAAAATCCAAAAAATAATACAATAAGTGAAGGGAGAAACATTCAAGGAAATAGATAACTTAAATAAAAAAAAATCAGGAAACTTTGGACGCACTTTTAGAAATGTGAAATGCTCTGGAAAGTCTCAGCAATAGAATTGAACAAGTAGAAGAAAGAAATTCAGAATTCGAAGACAAGGTCTTTGATTTAACCCAATCCAATAAAGACAAAGAAAAAAGAATAAGAAAATATGAGCAAAGCCTCCAAGGAGTCTGGCATTCTGTTAAACGATGAAACCTAAGACTAATTGGTGTACCTGAGGAATAAGTGAATTCTAAAAGCCAGGAAAACATATTTGGGGGAATAATCAATGAAAATTTCCATGGCCTTGTGAGAGACCTAGACATCCAAATACAAGAAGCACAAATAACACCTGGGAAATTCATCACAAAAAGATCTTAGCCTAGGCACATTGTCATTAGGTTATCCAAAGTTAAGACAAAGGAAAGAATCTTAAGAGCTGTGAGACAGAAGCACTAGGTAACCTATAAAGGAAGACCTATCAAACTAACAGCAGATTTTGCAGCAGAAACCTTACAAGCTAGATGGGATTGGGGTCCTTTCTTCAGCCTCCTCAAACAAAACAATTATCAGCCAAGAATTTTGAATCCAGCAAAACTAAACATCATATATGAAGGAAAGATACAGTCATTTTCAGACAAACAAATGCTGACAGAATTTGCTATTACCAAACCAGCACTGTAAAAACTGCTAAAAGGGGCTCTAAATCATGAAACAAATCCTGGAAACACATCAAAACAGAACTTCATTAAAGCATAAATCACACAAGACCTATAAAACAAAAATACAAGTGAAAAAGCAAAAACAGAAAACAAAAACAATGTACAGAGGCAACAAACAGCATGATGAAAGCAATGGTACCCCACTTTTTAATAGTAATGTTGGTTGTAAATGGCTTAAATGCTCCACTTACAAGATACAGAACCACAGAATGGATAAGAACTCACCAACTAACTATCTGCTGCCTTCAGGAGACTCACCTAACACATAACAACTTACATAAACTTAAGGAAAGTGGTAGAAAAAGGCATTTCATGCAAATGGACACCAAAAGTGAACAGCGGTAGCTATTCTCATATGAGAAAAAACAAACTTTAAAGCAACAGTAGCTAAAAGAGACAAAGACAGACAGTATATAATGGTAAAGGCCTCATCCAACAGAAAAATATGACAATCCTAAACAAACATGAACCTAACACTGGAGCTCCCAAATTTATAAAACAATTACTAGTAGACATAAGAAATGAGATAGACAGCAACACAATAATAGTGGGGGCCTTCAATACTCCACTGACAGCACTAGACAGTTCATCAAGACAGAAAGTCCACAAAGAAACACTGGATTTAAACTATACTTTGGAACAAATGGACTTAACAGATATATACAGAACATTTCATCCAACAACCACAGAATACACATTCTATTCCACAGCACATGGAATTTTCTCCAAGATAGACCATATGATAGGCCATAAAACAAGTCTCAATAAATTTAAGAAAATTGAAATTGTATCACGCACTCTCTCAGATCACAGTGGAATAAAACTGAAAATCAACTCCAAAAGGAATCTTCAAAACCATGCAAATACATGGAAATTAAATAACCTGCTCCTGAATGAGCATTGGGTGAAAAATGAAATCAAGATGGAAATGTAAAAAATTTCTTCGAACTGGATGACAAAACCTATCAAGACCTCTGGGATACAGCAAAGGCAGTGCTAAGAGGAAAGTTTGTAGCCCTAAACACCTATGTCAAAAAGTCTGAAAGAGCACAAACAGACAATCTAAGTTCACATCTCAGGGAACTAGAGAAGCAGGAACAAGCCAAACCCAATCCCAGCAAACAAAGGAAATAACCAAGATCAGAGCAGAACTAAATGAAATTGACACAACAACAACAACAACAACAACAAATACAAACCATAAATAAAACAAAAAGTTGGTTATTCGAAAAGATAAATAAAATCGATAGACCATTAGCAAGATTAACCAAGAAAAGAAGAGAGAAAATCCAAATAACCTCACTAAGGAAGGAAACAGGGGATATTACAACTGACACCACTGAAATATTAAAGATTATTCAAGGGTACTATGAACACCTTTGGCACATGAACTAGAAAACCTAGAAGAGTTGGACAAATTCCTGGAAAAATAAAACCCTCCTAGCTTAAATCAGGAAGAATTAGATACCCCAAGCAGACCAATAAAGCAAGCAGCAAGATCGAAATGGTAATATTAAAATTACCAACAAAAAAAGCCGAGGACTAGACAGATTCACAGCAGAATTCTACCAGACATTCAAAGAATGTCTTCTTTCATTCAAAGAAGAAATGATACCAATCCTTTCACACTATTCCACAAGACAGAGAAAGAAGAAACCCTCCCTGATTCATTCTATGAAGCCAGCATTACCCTAATACCAAAACCATGAAAGGACATAACCAAAAATGAAAACTACAGACCAACATCCTTGATGAACGCAGATGCCAAAATCCTTAACAAAATACTATCTAACTGAATCCAACAACATATCAAAAAGATAATCCACCATGATCAATTGGGTTTCATACCAGTGATACAGGAATGGTTTAACATACGCAAGTCAATAAATGTGATACACCAAATAAACAGAATTAAAAAAAAACTCACATGATTATACCAACAGATGCAGAAAAAGCATTTGACAAAATCTAGCATTGCTTTATGATTAAAGCTCTCAGCAAAATAGGCATACAAGGGACATACTTTAATGTAATAAAAGCCATCTGTGACAAACCCACAGCCAACATAATACTGAATGGGGAAAAGGTGAAAGCATTGCCTTGAGAACTGCAACAAGATGAGGAGCCTACTCTCACCACTCCTCTTCAACATAGTACTGGAAGTCCTAGCCAGAGCAATCAGACAAAAGAAGGAAATAGAGGAAATCCAAATCGGTAAACAGGAAGTCAAACTGTCACTGGTTGCTGACGATATGATCTTTTGCCTTGAAAACCCTATGGACTCTTCTAGAAAGCTCCTAGAAATGATAAAATAATTCTGCAGTTTCCAGATACAAGATTATTGTACACAAATCAGTAGCTCTTCTATACATCAACAGCTACCAAGCAGAGAATCACATCAAGAACTCAACCCCTTTTGCAATAGCTGCAAAAAACAAAAAAACAAACAAAAAAAACTTAGGAATATACCTAACAAAGGAATCAAAAGACCTCTACAATGAAAATTACAAAACACTGCTGAAAGAAATCACAGATGGAGCCAAGCACAGTGGCGCATGCCTATAATCCCAGCTACTCGGGAAGCTGAGGCAGGAGAATCGCTTGAACCCAGGAGGCAGAAGTTGTAGTGAGCTGAGATCACACCATTGCACTCCCACCTCAGCGACAAGAGCGAAACTCCCTCTGAAAAAAAAAAAAAGACCAAGAAAGAAAAGAAATCATAGATGACAGAAACAAATGGAAATGCATCCCCATGCTCAAGGATGGGTAGAACCAATACTGTGAAAATTACCATTCTGTTAAAGGCAATCTACAAATTCAATGCAATCCCCATCTGAATACCATCATCATTCTTCAGAGAACTACAAAAACAATTCTAAAATTAATATGGAACCAAAAGAGAGCCATGTAGCCAAACCAAGGCTAAGCAAAAAGAACAAACCTGGAGGCATCACACTACGTGATTTCAAACTGTACAGTAAG
The DNA here is from genome assembly GCF_000001405.40 of Homo sapiens. Lineage (NCBI taxonomy): Eukaryota > Metazoa > Chordata > Mammalia > Primates > Hominidae > Homo > Homo sapiens. Next base: position 366,200 of record NT_187383.1, read on the forward strand.
GCCATAGTTACCAAAACAGCATGGTACTGGTTTAAAAATAGGCACATAAACCAATGGAACAGAAAAGAGAACCCAGAAATTAACCCAAATACTTACAGCCAACTGATCTTTGACAAAGTAAACAAAAACATAAAGTGGGGAAAGGACACCCTTTTCAACACATGATGTTGGGATAATTGGCGAGCCACATGTAGGGGAATAAAACTGGATTCTCATCCCTCACCTTACACAAAAATCTACTCAAGATGGATTAAGAACTTAAACCTAATTCCTGAACTATAAAAATTCTAGAAGGTAACACTGGATAAACCCTTCTAGACACTGGCATAGGCAAGGATTTCATGACCAAGAACCCAAATGCAAATGCAATAAAAACAAAGCTAAATAGCTGCGACTTAATTAAACTAAATAGCTTTTGCATGGCAAAGGGAACAGTCAGCAGAGTAAACAGACAACTAACAGAGTGGGAACCCTGACCCTGACCCCTGACCCTGACCCCTAATTCCTGACCCTGACCCCTAACCCCTGACCATAACCCTAATCTCTAACCCTTAACCCTAACCCTAACCCCTAACCCCAACCCTCACCCTAACCCAACCCTAACCCCAAATACCTAACCCCTAACCTCTCTTAACCCCTAACTCTAAACGTTGACTCTTAACCCCTAACTCTGACCCCAACTCCTATCTCCAACCCTAAACTTAACCCCTAACCCCTAACCCCTAACCCTAACACCAACCTTAACCCTAGGTTCGTTACTAAATTAGTATTGACTATGACTATGTTGATTATTATGATCACTGTCTTAGGGCTGCACGGCAGTGAGGGGATTTTGGATCTTATATTAATGTTTTTGTATTGAGGCAGTGCATTAGCACAGGTGCTTCTTACATGAGCAATGGGGGTGTCATATTTTGCGTGTCATGTCTGCATTAGGAATGCTGCATTTGTCTTTTTTTTTTTTTTTTTTTTTGAGACGGAGTCTCGCTCTGTCGCCCAGGCTGGAGTGCAGTGGGGGGATCTCGGCTCACTGCAAGCTCCGCCTCCCGGGTTCACGCCATTCTCCTGCCTCAGCCTCCCAAGTAGCTGGGACTACAGGCGCCCGCCACTATGCCCGGCTAATTTTTTGTATTTTTAGTAGAGACGGGGTTTCACTGTTTTAGCCGGGATGGTCTCGATCTCCTGACCTCGTGATCCGCCCGCCTTGGCCTCCCAAAGTGCTGGGATTACAGGCGTGAGCCACCGCGCCCGGCCTGCATTTGTCTTCCGAGACTGCGGTGTGGATCTCGCACTGCAGCCGCCTCGCCTTGGCAGGGGAGAACCTCGGTGGGCAGGATTCAGAAGGGCTTTTGGTTTCCCGTTTTCCACACTGAACCCTTCTAACGGGTCTCTGACCCTGATTATTCAGCGCTGCAAACAGGAAGGATTTTATTCACCGTCGATGTGGCCCCGAGTTGTCCCAAAGCGAGGCAGTGCCCCCAAGGTCTGTGCTGAGAAGAACGCTGCTCTGCCTTCGCGGTGGCCCCCCGGGTCTGTGCTGAGCAGAACACACCTCATCCTGTGCTGAGGAGAACGCAGCTCCGCCCTCGCAAAGGCACACAGCGCCAGCGCAGGGCACCAAGAGGCGCACCGAACCCGAATCCTAACCCTAACGCCGTCCTAAGAGCCCTGGAGAGACCTTAGGGGACAAGCATTAAACTGACACTCGAGTCCGTAGCCGGCTCTGCCAAAAGACTTGGGGTTGAGATGATATGAGGGCAGGGGTCAGGGAAGAAAGCGTTCTGGTTTTAGACCCACAGGAAGATCTGTGAAGCACACTTGGGTAGAGCACATGTTGCCTGGTGTGCGCTTGAAAAAAGCCTAAGAAGAGGGGGTGTCTGGAAGGAACCGCGACGCCAAGGGAGGGTGTCCAGCCTTCCCGCTTCAACACCTGGACACATTCTGGAAAGTTTCCTCAGAAAGACAGAAAAATAATAATAATAATAATAAAAATCCAGAGGGCGGGGAGTGGGGGTGTGTGGCTAATGGGGCTTTACCGGGACTATCTGTCTTAATCCTCCAAACAACCCTGCCATAGCAGCCCATCAGTCCTCTGAGACAGGTGAGGAACCTGAGGTCACAGGAGGACACCCAGAAGGTCCAAGCAGAGCCCCCTAGGGCCCCCACACCTCCCCCGTGCCAGCTCCAACCCCAGCTTTTTCACTAGTAAGGCACGCCTGCTGCTGGGCCATGCCCACTCCCCCAAGCGGGAGTTTGATAAACAAACTGTTAATTATTATTACCTATATCTGGATGGGTTATGAGTGAACTTTTTTAAATTTATTTTTATTTATTCTTTATTTATTTTTGCGGGGACAGAGTCTTGCTCTGTCACTCAGGCTAGAGTGCGATGGCATGATCTCAGCTTACTGCAACCTCCACCTCCTGGGTTCAAGGAATTCTCCCACCTCAGCCTCCCAAGTACCCGAGACACAGGCGTATGCCACCACGCCCAGCTAACTTTTGTATTTTTAGTTAGAGATGCAGTTTTGCCATGTTGGCCAGACTAGTCTTGAACTCCTGATGTCAAGTGATTTGTCCATCTCTGCCTCTGAAAGTGTTGGGATTACAGGCATAAGCTACCGCACACAGCCTAAAATATATTTTTATTTTCAAAAATTGTGTGGTATGCATGAGTTTTATAGCAAGAAAAAATTATAATTTATTTTGAATTAAAGTCCATTGTTTTAAAATTAAGCAATAGGTGAGCTGGAATTTTAAGCTCCACAAATGACCAATAACTTATTTGATTCCCTTTTAAACCTGTTGTCTGTTTTAATCACTCATATGGAATCATTCATATGTTTTTACTTAAAATCTAAACCAAATAATGAAGTAACTGTTTAAATTGTTAGATTTTGAATATGGTTCAGTTGGATGTAAAATGTAACTATTACTCAGGAAAACGATCTGATTTTTTTTTTAGCAAGTGATATTCTTTCTTTCTGAGAGCATTTCACAAATGTTTCTACCTAATGAATCATATTTTAAAATTAACACTTGTAATTCTTTTTTCTTTTTAGTTTCCTGCCCGTGATGATTCACATAATAAACACAATGAATTGACAGGAGATAATGTGGGTCCACTAATACTGAAAAAGAAAGAAGTATAATAATAATATTTTAACAATATTTTCTCATTCTTTGTGTATAGAAAATTTTAAAATGGTGGTCTTAATTATTACTACTGGTTGAACAAATATTTCTTCCAATTTATTTTCTTCCTGCACTACTGTTTGTATTTGATCCTTTGTCTATTCAGTCTCTTAATTAGAAATTAAATTGTCAAGCCTCTTATTCTGATTTCAAAGAATTAATGTATCTTCCAACAATAAAATCACTTCTGATTTTAATCTAGGAAAACCTAAATTGTGGCTATGGATCCAAAGCTGTTTGTTTCTTTGAATATCAATATTTTCAACAGGATCTTGTATTTAAAATTCCCACCTACATTGTTAAATATGTTATTTTTTCATATCTCTTTTGGTTTTGATAATCTGAAGTGTTTTTTTCTCCTTTTGGCCTTCCAAACTGCATTTGTTTAGGTGAATTAAGAAAAATATTGGGCCGGGCGCTGTGGCTCACGCCTGTAATCCCAGCACTTTGGGAGGCCGAGGCGGGCGGATCATAAGGTCAGGAGATCAAGACCATCCTGGCTAACACGGTGAAACCCCGTCTCTACTAAAAATACAAAAAATTAGCCGGGCGAGGTGGCGGGCGCCTGTAGTCCCAGCTACTCGGGAGGCTGAGGCAGGAGAATGGCGTGAACCCCGGGGGGCGGAGTGTGCAGTGAGCTCCAGCCTGGGCGACAGCGAGACTCCGTCTCAAAAAAAAAAAAAAAAGAAAAATATTGCCATCAAGAATTACTTGTGTTTTCACAGAGATAGACTCTTTGCTTTACAGAGGTTGTTGGGTATTTAATATGAATATCCCAGCTTTAGAAAAGAGTAAACTGGATACAAAAAGTTCCATTGAGGAACAGTTATTTACAGTAAAAAAGATTTGTTTACTTTACAAAAGGCTTGTGTCTGCTTCTGTGTGTGTATATTTTAAACTGTTTGACTCAGTGAGAGCTGGGGTGGAATGGCAAGAACACTTAAAACCTAACTCATGGGCTGCTGCAATTTGAAGATCAATTGGTAATAAATATAAGACATATTAATTCATATTAAAATAGTTCAGTGTCCAAAATTGTGGTTACATGGACATTTTTCTCTTTTTAACACTATAAACCATTAAAATACAGTCATCCCTTGTATACACTGGGGACTAGTTCCAGGGCCACACATATACCAAAATCTGCCCATACTCAAGTCTCACAGAACGTCTTGCAGAACCCATATGTAGAAAAGTTGGCCCTCCAATTGACCCTCCGTACACATGAGTTTCACATCCCATGCACAAATGCTGATCTGTGTGACCTCACCTGCATTTGATTGAAAAAAGTATGCGCATAAGTGTACCCACCCAGTTCAAACCCATGTGTAAGGGTCAACTGTACAAAAAAGTTTGTGAAATAAATGTACCGGAGAATCTTTAAAATTTTTGTGCTTTTTAATCCTACTATTATGAGTCTTTTTAGTTTCATCTTACATTACTACTCTCATAATAGCTATCCTTAGCCAGGTGCCATGGCACAGGCCTGTAGTCCCAACTGCTGAGAAGATTGAGGTGGGAGGATGGCTGCAGTGCTGGAGCCCAGGAGTTCAAGGCCAGGCTGGGCAAAATAGTGCTCTGCCTCTGCTGGACTCTGTAGGGAATCCTTTCTGTTCTGAAAGAGTTACCATTTAACCCTCTTCACTGAGTACATTTCTGAGACCTTGCTAGGCACTATGGAAACTGCTTAGTTGAGAAAAGACAAATACAAAAGCTTTTCTTTAGTCTATTTAAGATACAATTTATTCAGTTCACTTTGCTTTCTTTTTATAAGAAGGTACAAGAGGCAGAGGTAATCCTTCTAGAAATAAAACTAATTGTTATTGAGAACTCGTATGTACCAGACAGTACACTAAGCATGGTACTTGTGTTTTTAATTTATTACATGTAATGTCAGTAGGTTCAATTATATGATCAGAACATCTTCATGACCAGCAGCATGTATTTTAGAGTTAGAAATGTAGTCTGGTTTCTGAGAAGTTTTACAAGGTGTATGTCCAAAATTATTGCTCTTTCCTCACATGTCAGTGGGGGATAAATACAGCATTGCTCTCACTTCTTTGACTCTGGGCACTTTTTTGGATACATTTTCTTCAATACTGTTAAGGGGCCTCACTGTCAGATTAACCAATTATTTTTCCACAGTTGGTCACCAGACTTTGGAAAAAATCCAGCTCACCAAAATTTTGGATATCCTGGTCTGTGGTCATGAAATGCTTTTCTTTTTGTAAAATCTGTCACTGCGTCTCACAGCAACTTGTTTTCACACATGTTCTAGTCGTTCCCATAACTTAGATTTTACAGGAGGCAAATTTACTAAAAATGAGGAGACTAAAATGAATGACCAACTTTGAATTTTGTCAAATAACATTGAAAATGAATTATCTCATAAAAGGTAATTTTAATACCCCAAAAGTAAGATGGTTATACTCTCAGAATAAAGACTTTTTCCCTGCCACATTTTCAGTTGTTAAAATATGCTATGCCCATATCTTTTCCCACTTGTGCAAATTTTTCAGAAGCCTACAGTTGGTAGTAAGCTGTTGCTTTAATAACTCTTTTAAATAAGCATTATTAGCAGTTTCCATTACTTCTTGTAAATTTACACAATTTTATCTTGTCCATCTTTAAAAAATAGATATCTAATAACCAAATGTATTTGAATTGATACAGTATAAGTAACTTGTAGAACTTGAGGATAAGTGGTAAAGGAAAAGAAAAAGTAACTTGACTCTTGAAATACGTCTTGGGTTTCTAGAGCCTTCAAAATACAGCCTTGTTGTTACTGTGTCACATTATGATTGTTTTGACGGCTACTTCTGCTTACCTAGGAAACTACTCATGCCTTACTCAGCAAATGAGCACCACCATTACATAAACATCAGGTATCCAAAAGTGTTAGCAGGCTTGAGGTATGAATGATTAATTCATATGGGTAATTAAGCAAGTTGAATTATGGAAAGCATCTCACAATTCACACAATTCAGCTTTGAGTTCAATGCCAAATATGATGATTCATTAAGTTGCCTTTGTATTTTGTAACCTAATTTGTTAATAAGTTACAGGAAGCCAATTAAGCCAGCTGCTGATCTATATAGTACTACCTTCCTCATTGTGATTCCATAGTCTTCCAATAGAAATGTGCTATCAGAATCTGTATAAAGAGTTTGTAAATTGCACTATTTAACAAGGTTCTTAAGAATTTAGGTGGATGTTTTATTTGATACCTACCAAAGAAACTTAACTAATTGTATAACACTTAACCCATTTAGAATTCAGTTGTGGCAGCATAACCAATCTGGAGAGACCAGGGGAGATGTTACTAATGCTTGTACTTTATTCAGAAGTGATTGCCTCATTGGCTTGGTGCAGTGACTACACACCTGTAATCTCAGCACTTTGGGAGGCTGAGGTGGGTGGAGTACTTGATCTCAGGAGTTCCATACCAGCCTGGGCAACATGGTGAGATCTCATCTCTACAAAAAAATACAAAAATTAACCGGGCACCAATGGCGCACCCGTAGTCCCAGTTACTCGGGAGGCTGAGGCACAAGAATCTCTTGAGTTGAGGAGGCCAAGGTTGCAGTGAGCCAAGATTGTGCCACTGCACTCCAGCCTGGGCAACAGGAGTGAAACCCTATCTTAAAAAAAAAAAAGTATTTTTTTCTTCATCTAATCAAATTTATTGGGGCAGAAATCAGTACAAATTTCATAGGACAGGAGGAAACCAATATAAACATCTCAGCATTGTAGGAAATTTAACCCATGGAAAGCAGGGCTGAATTAAAGACCACTTTGAAGGCCAGGAAAAGCAGATAATTTAGATATAGTCAAAGTATGAAATCATTGATAGATCCAGAACAAGGGAATAATATATGTGTTTACATATTAGATCTACTTTATTAACAATTTTCCCTCTGTTAAACTAATATCAACTAATAGTAGTCTAGGTAAGTCAAGTTCAAATTAAGTGGTAACTGAAAAGTCTTCCTTTTTAAAGAATTTTAATGGTAGAGGCAGCAGCTACCCAGAGTCTACTTATTCTTACTTCACATAGAATTCTAACAAGTTAGGTTATCTGATTTCTGCTTCCTAACAAATCACAAGTATCGAAAGGGTCTTGCAGAAGGGGTGAACTATAAAATGTGACAGCTGACAGCAAGGCATGGGAACAAAAATAAACTTAAGGTGAACATTAAAAACATAGCAGCTTGAGACAATTTATAGGATTCTGCATACAACCGTCTCTGAGGACATCACTGTGATCAAATTATACAAGTGATGTTTAGTGATGAATTGGAATCAAGATAAGTAGTAGGTGTTATTTAAAAAGGCAGTATATGTGTTGCATTCAGTGGCAACAATTTCACCTTAGCTATTTAGTTAAAAGCTTAGTGCTTAACATGTTGGAAAATTTATGGGTAAAATATATTGACTTATTCCTTGACGATTGGAGGCTTTATCACAGGAAGTTTTCCCATTCAATTGAAACATTTTTCAAGCTTAATGACTATAATTTACTACATAATTTATTTTGTTAAAGTTTGAGAAAAACTAAATAAAGAAGTAGCAATTTAAGTCATAATAAATTTTGTTAGATGACTTCTTCCACTTTAGGGGGAATTAAAAATCTTGTTTAAAAACCACATGTGCAGCAGTTCTGTGACCGCCTCAACACCTAGTTGGCCATATAGTCCCTTTGCACCACAGAGGTTGGAGTATAGAATATGCCCAAAGCTGTTTTGTTTTGTTTTAACTATGCTGCATCATCTGAGGTTGTGTTAACATAGTTTGTCCTAATAGTCTTTTACTGGAAAGTTGCTATATTTGATTATGTTCAGCAAGTAAACTAATTTTATCTACTTTCATATATTTTGAGACAAAGTCTGGCCCTGTCATCCAGGCTGGAGTGCGGGGGCGTAATCGTACCTCACCACAGCCTCAGCCTCTTGTGCTGAAGTGATCCTCCCACCTCAGCCTCCCAAGTAGCTGAGACTACAGTCATGCTTCATCATGCCCGGCTATTTTTTTACTTTCCTAAGAGACAGAGTCTCACTATGTTACCCAGGCTGGTCTCGAAGTCCTGGACTCAAGTGATCCTCCCTGCCTCAGCACTCCCAAAGTGCTGGGATTGCAGGTGTGAGCAACCATGCCTGGTGTTTTATCTTTTGCAGAAATCCAGTTTAGTTAAGTCATGTTGTAGCAAGCATCATTTTCATATAAAAAGTGTACAGTTCATATTATTAGCAAACGTATTCTGTAATTTTATATTAGTTATGGTCTTGAAGGACATTGAAAATCTGTTCAGAAAGACTGTGTTTTTCAACCAGAGATGACATCACTCTAACTTTCCTTTGGTTTAAATGCTTGATTCTTTGCTTACAAAATTTCTGTTTTGAACAATTATGGTGAGAAAGTATATTTGTGATACTGTTTTCTTAGAACACTGTTGTCAGATAGATCAGCCATAATGTTAACACATTTCTGATCTCTATTATAAGGCTGTAATTTTCCAAAATAAGATAGAAAAGGAGAAAAGGGTAGTACATTTCATAATTACTGAGATGAACCCTGTACTAGTGAGAAAATAAAAATGCCAACAATTTATTAAATTTTCAGATTTCCTGTAATTTTCCATCACTATCTCTCATACATTTCTCTGCATGATCACACTAAAGATATAAATTAATCACATCCATTCAACAAATCAAGAAACTCAAAACTCACAAGTACAATCTTCAACTCTGTAGAATGCTACCAAGAAGTAAAATAAGATGAAGGTAGAAAGATTCTCTTTGAGGACCAGGTGCGGTGGCTCACACCTGTAATTAATTCCAGCACTTTGAGAGGCCAAGGTGGGCAGATTGCCTAAGGTCAGGAGTTCAAGACCAGCCTGGCCAACATTGTGACAACTCGCTCTACAAAAATACAAAAATTAACTGGGCATGATAGTGGATGTCTGTAATCCCAGCTACTCGGGAGGCTGAGGTGGAAGAATCACTTGAATCCAGGAGGCAGAGGTTGCAGTGTGCCAAGGTCATGCCATTGCATTCCAGCCTGGGCCAGAGAGCAAGACTCCATCTCAAAAAAAAAAAAAAAAAAAAAGAAAAGAAAAAAGAAAGATTCACTTTGAAATGCTGCATGCAACTATATGACCACACATTGGAAAATCTAGAGAAAATGGGTAATTTTCTGGAAAAATATAAATGACCAAAACTAATCCAAGAAGAAATTAAAAATGTTAGTAGACCAGTTACAAAGAAGATAATGTAAAATGATTTTTTAAATCCATAATTTAAAAAGTACTAGGGTTGCAAGAAGGATAATTCCAATGTTATTTAAAGTATCCCAAATTTTTTTAAAAAAGAAAAACCAATTCATTTCACATAGGCAGTGCAGCATTAATATGAAAACCTGATAAACATAAGACAAAACTATAGGCCAGGTGCCATGGCTTACACCTGTAATCCCAGCACTTTGGGAAGCCAAGGCAGGTGGATCACTTAAGATCAGGAGTTCAAGACCAGCCTGAACAATATGGTGAAACCCCGTCTCTACTAAAAATCCAAAAATTAGCCCAGCATGGTGGTGTATGTCTGTAATCCCAGCTTGAACCCAGGAGGCAGAGGTTGCAGTGAGCCAAGATCACGCCACTGCACTCCAGCCTGGGTGACAGAGCAAGTCTCCATCTCAAAACAAAAATAAAAACAAACAAAAAAACCAAAACTATAGACCAATCTGACTTATACATGTGAATGAATATTCTAAATAAAAACCCAGCACTGTTATCAATAATTGCAACAACAAAAAAGAGTAATACAGTATGCAAAGAGCATTGTATTTCAGGAATTCATGGGTATTTCAATATCAGTTAAGTATATTAACACAATTACATAATTGACATCAAAGAAGAGGAAAATGTGATTATATCAATAGATGCTGAGAGGGCTATTGTTAAGATTAAACATCCACTCCTAATGAAGATTCTTGAGTAAAATAGAAATTGAAAGAAAGTGTCTAAACATAGCCGTTATTTATGAAATGCCTACAAAATAAGTATTTTAAATCATAAAGGAACATTTCAATTAAAACAAGGAACCAGTAGGAATAGCTGCTGTCATTATTTGTTATTAAAGATTATCTTGGAGGATCCATGAATGTAACAAGATTTTTAAATGAAATAATCAGTATAAATATAGAGAAAACTTTTTGTGGATATGATTATATGCCTAGCAAATCATAGAGATTAGGAAAAACAGAACTTTCAAATATTTTAAAGAGGAATATTGGTAAGGTATTTGGAAATAAGATCATAATACAAAATACATTAGCAATAAGCACCTTGAAATGCTAATGGTAAAAATATTCACAATAACAAAAATAATAAAGGTAAAATAAATTTACCAAGAAAGAAGATCTACAAGAAAAAAACTATAAAAATGTTAACAAAAGCTATTAAATAAGAAACACATGGGGCTAGGTGCAGTGGCTCATACCTGTAATCCCAGCACTTTGGGAGGCTGAGGCAGGAGGACTGCTTGAGCCCAGGAGTTCAAGACCAGCTTCGGCAAATTGTGAAACGCTATATCTAAACAAAACAAAACAAAACAAAAAACTATTTGGGCTTGGCGCATGCTTATAGAACCAGGTACTTGGGAGGCTGAGGTGGGAGTTTGGGGCTTCAGTGAGCTGAGATACCACAACTGCACTCCTGCCTGGGTGACAAAGTGAGACCCTGTCTCAAAAAAACAAACAAAACTCTTGTAAAAACATAAATCTCCTAAAATTATATATAAATTCAATTAAATTCACATTAGAATCACAAAAGCATTTTAAAATTGGATTAAATTATCTTAAAGTTCATGTAGAAGAATAGTCAGGACATTTTACCCAAAAAAAGACTATTGAGAGGAACTTTTCTCACCAGATATCAGCACCTACTATAGAACTATTGGAATTGATCAATTAAGAAAAACAATTGTATTAATTAAGAATAAGCAAGAGTAGTAAAAAATTGAGAATCTACATGTAGATGAAAAATTAATATATGAAAATAAACAATTCAAAGAAAACAAAATTGGACCCTCAATTTACACTGAAGGCTTTGAACTGATACATAAAATGATTTTTAAAATGATTTAAATATGTACATAAATGGAGAGAGGAAGGGTGGGAGAGAAGCGGGAGAGAGAGAAAATAGAAGACTAAAGACAGGAACACCTATGTGGAAAAAGATAACACTTAATGACAAAATATGTTTTATGTGAATATCAGTTATACATAATAAATATTGGGGACATTGCATTGTGGGTTACAGTAAAGCATTAAAAAACAGAGTAAGTGAACAAAAAAAGGAAAGAAAACTACCAAATTCCATGTATGATACCCCGTTTTGAAATTACATAAATTAAACATGTGTACACATAAGAAAATTTTAAACATTAAAATTTTGTTAACAAAATGGATTTGATAACACGAAGGCCATTGATGACCTTACCCACAGCAGCTTTGTTTAAATGGGGATTAAGGATGGAGCAAAATTTTTATTAGAACACTTTGAATAATGAATTAGCAAACTACAATAAACTGAAATCTTACCTACCAAATAATCTCAGTAAAGTAAACAAATCTAAAAGAAATGAATAAAACAATTGTGAGCAAAAAAGGATAGAGTCACTGCATATAATGTAAATGAGACAAGGATGGCCTCTGTGTATTGGCGCCTAGGTTATTTCTTCACAGCAAGCTGAAACCCATTAGCTCAAAAACCAACTGGCACCAAACTCAAATTTTTAAACATCCAATTGTGTTAAACATAGCCCAGACATGCAGATCTGTAGGCATTTAGAGCCTGCCTGATTTACATGCCCTGGGAAACTACGTCCAAAATCTGCTTGCCACAGATAAACTCTAGGCTGTAAAGACCCCAAGCTGCTTCTGCTCTTTGGAACTCTGTGAACTACAGACTCCATGCCATGCTGCTGAGTGATATCACTGAGACATGAAAGCCTCCTCTCTGATACTTTCCTCCCTCAGGAGTTCCTTTGCCCTCCTCCCCTTCTGAGTGGTGGCCCCCTTGTCTCAAACCTCTGGTCCATCTCTTGCTGTGAAGGCCTTCCCCAGGATACAAACCTGACAAGAGATCATCCAGATAAAGCCCATGTGTGCTTCTGTCACATCATTTTCTATATTTTTCTAATTTTTTTCTAAACTTTTCTAATTTTTTCTTAATTTTTATAAAATTGTGGATACCTAATAATGTAGTCTCAAAATAAATAAAGCCAAAATTAGAATTGGAAAAAGCAATAAAAAAATCTACACAGTGAGAGATTTTAACATTTCATTTTTAGTAATTGAATAAATAAACGTAAAATTAGTAAGGCTAATCAACAGTTAAAGAATTTCTATTCTTTTCAAGCACACTTGGAGTATTTACAAAAATTGACCAGATATTAGGCCTAAAGGTAGTATCAAATGTTTACATTGGTATAACAAATGTGTAATAGCACTATTAGAAATCAATAACAAAAACTTATCCAAAAGTAATCCATGAATTTTAGAAACTACAAACAGCTTCCAAATGATTCATGGAAGCAAGAAGAAATTATAACAAAAATTAGAACATGCTTAAAATTGAATTAAAATGAAAAGATTACCAATCATTATATATGTAAAATAACTGAAGCAGTACTTAGAGTGAAATTTACCAGAAGCAATTCACATTCATGGGAAAGACAACAGCATGCATTTAGAGACTTGTCCAAGATGTATATTAGTTCTTTGACTCTCTGTCCTAATGTAGTCCAGAGACGTGAGCTGTCTGGACATTCTGTAGCATGTTACATTTGTCCATTTTATTTACCAGTTAAAATAGACTGGGTAAGAAATAGCATGTTGGATGGCCTAGTGAGACACATGCATCCCTGAGAGAGAAAATCATCTGAAGATTTAAGGACCTGTGACATCAGTCACAGAAGATTTTAGGGGGCCCATTGGTCCCCCTATACTAAGGAATACTGTTCTGACACATTTGCTGAGTGACACAGAAGGCTTCCACCTTTGACAAAAGCTTAGGGCAGAAAAGGCCTCTGCAGCAGGTCCAGGATACAGGGCAAGCAGCCCTACTGTTTGAGCCATACACTCTAGTAGGCTCTATGGTATTAGAAGTATATGCAGTTGGAAAAAGCACCATGTAGAGTTTATAGCAAACCCTAATAGACGATTCACACATAGTCTTGTGGGGTTCACTGGCATGGTCATTCTCTCTGCAAGTAATTGTATATTGTATAAATATATAGCATAATTGTGTACTTTAATAGCTCCTAGCATGCTACTGCACCTAGGTAGAGATGGATTATCTGACAACAAATATTAAGTGACCATGTGGCTAAAAGTTCCCACCATGAGTTTGGTTTTGTTAGATCTACCAGATCATAAGGACAGGCTGGCCCAGCAACAAATCATAATAAAATAGAAGTAGCACATTGAATTAGTCCATTTTCACATTGCTATAAAGAACTACCCAAGCCTGGGTAATTAATAAACAAAAGAGGTTTATTGACTCACAGTTCCGTATGGCTGGAGAGGTCTCAGGAAACTTACACTTATGACTAAAGGCAAAGGTGAAGCAAGCACCTTCTTCAGAAGGCAGCAGGAGAGACAGAGAGCAAGGGGGGATGTGCCAAACACTTTTAAACTATCCACTCTCATGAGAACTCAATATCATGAGAACAGCATGAGGGAAATTGTCCCCATGATCCAGTCACCTCCCACCAGGTCCCTCTCTCTACATGTGGGGATTATAATTTGAGATGAGATTTTGTAGGGACACAGAGCCAAACCATATCACATCAAGGATTGGGCATGAGAAAGACTAGAGGACACAAGTAAGCAGTATGATCAGGTGATCCAGGTCCCCACATTATCCAAATTGTGACAATAGATTCTCTCCCTCAGCTGGCAACTCTGCCTATGTGGGAGTTCCAATATTGCTAAAGGAGGAAAAAAGCTAAGCTTGTTCATTGGAAGATCAACTCAGGATGCGGATGTAAGTAAAAAATGATAGCAACCTACTTCAGCTATGGAAAGATAGCAGTAGATTAAATCCTCCCAAGGACGGTTCAACATATACGAATCAATAAATGTGATATACACATTAACAGAATGAAGGACAAAAACTATATGAATATCTCCATGGATGCAGAGAAAGCATTTGACAAAATTCAACATCTTTCTGTAATAAAAACTTTCAACAAATTAGGTATCAATGTCCATATAACACAATAAAGGCATATATGATAGGCCCACAGCTAACATCATACTCAATGGTAAAAAGTTGAAAGCTTTTTCTCTAAGATCAGAAACAAGATGGATGCCCATTTTCACCACTTCTATTCAAGTTCTAGCAATTAGTCAAGAAGAAGAAATAAAGGCATTAAAGTCAGAAAGGAAGAAGTGAAATTGTCTCTGCAGACAACATGATCTTAAATGTAGAAAACCCTAAAGAGTCCACCAAAAAAAAACTGTTGGAACTAGTAAATTAATTCAGTAAAGTTGCAGGATGCAAAATCAACATAAAAAAATGAGTAGCATCTGTATACACTAACAATGAACTATCTGAAAAAGAAATCAAGAAAGCAATTTCATTTATAATGGCTACACAAATACTTAGGAATTAATTTAACGAAGGAGGTGAAAGACTTGTACACTGAAAACTATAAAACATTGGTGAAAGAAATTGAAGAAGACACAAATAAATGGAAATATATCCCATCTTCCTGGATTAGAAGAATTCATGCTGTTAAAATGTTCTTAGTACCCAAAGTGATCTACAGATTCAATGTAATCTCCATCAAAATTCCAATGATATTTTTTATGTAAACAGAAAAAAGTCCCCAAATTCATGTGAAACCACAAAAAAACTCCAAATAGCAAATTGTGAGCGAAAAGAACAAAGTAGGAGGCATCACATTATCCAGTTTCAAAATATACTATGATGCTATAGTAATCAAAAATATAACATGATACTGGCATACGAACAGACTGGTAGACCAATGGAATAGAATAGAGAGCCTCAAAATACATCCACGTTTAAGGCCAATTGATTTTCAGTAAATATGCCAAGAATACACAATGGGGAAAGGACAATCTTTTCAATAAATGGTGTTGGGAGAACTCCACATGCAGAGAAATGAAATTAGACCCTTATCTCATACCATATACAAAAAAAAAACACAAATGGACTAAAGACTTAAATATAAAACCTGAAACCATAAATCTACTAGAAGAAAACATTCAGGAAAAGCTCCATGAGACTGGTCTGGGCAATGATTTTCTGGATATGACCCCCAAAGCACAGGCAACAAAAGCAAAAATAGACAAGTGGGATTATATCAAACTAAAAAGCTGTGCAAGCAAAGGGAGCAATCAATAGAGTAAAGAGATAGCCTACAAAAAGGGAGAAAATATTTGCAAGCCATACATCTGATAAAGGATTAATATCCAGAATATATAAAGTATTCATACAACTCAATAGCATGAAAACATATAACCTGATTAATGAAAGGGAGGCAAAGTACCTGAATAAACATTTTTCCACAGAAGACATACAAATGGCCAACGGGAATATGAAAAAATAACCAACATCACCAGTCATCAGAGAAACGCAAATCAAAACCACAATGAGACATCCCTTTTAGAATGGCTACTATGAAAAAGACAAAAGATAACATGTGTTGGCGAGGATGTGGAGAAAAGGGAGCCTTTGTATACTGTTGGCAGGAATGTAAATTAGTACAGCTATTATGAAAAATAATATAGAGGTTTCTCAGAAAGTTAAAAATAAAACTACCATATGATCCAGCAATCCTAGTACTATTTATATACCCAAAGAAAATGATTCAATATGTCAAAGAAAAATCTGTACCTCATGTTCATTGCAACATTATTCACAATAGACAAGATATGAAATCAACCTAAGTATCCTTTAACAGATGAATGATTAAAGAAAATGTGGTGTGTATATACATAATGAAATATTGTTCAGCCTTAAAGAAGGAAATCCTGTCTTTTGTAATAACATGGATGAAACTGGAGGACATTATATTAAGTGAAATAAGCCAGGCACAGAGAGATAAATGCCATGTAATCTCGCTTATATGTGGAATCTAAAAAAGTCAAACACATAGAAGCAGAAAAGAGAATAATGGTTATTAGGGGAGGGGAAGGAAGGTAGAACTGGGGAGATGTTGGTCAAAGGATACAAAAATTAAGATAAGCAGGAAGAACAAGTTCAAGAGACCTATTGTACAACATGGTGACTACAGTTAATAACAATGTATTGCATACTTGAAAATTGGTAGGACAGTAGATTTTAAGTGCTTTCACCACAAAAGAAATGATAAGTATGTGAGGTAACACATGTATTAATTAGCTTGAGTTAGCCATTTCACAGTGTATCCATATTTCAAAACATCAGGTTGTACACTACAAATATATACAATTTTTGTTTGTATATTTAAAATTTTTTAATATTTAAAAATTCAACTCAAAAATAAATTCTTGGCCAGGCACAGTGGCTCACACCTGTAATCTCAGCACTTTGGGAGGCCAAGGTGGTGGATCATGAGGTCAGGAGATCGAGACCATTCTGGCTAACATGGTGAAAACCCATCTCTACTAAAAAAATACAAAAAAAATTAGCTGGGCATGGTGGCGGGCACCTGTAGTCCCAGCTACTTGGGAGGCTGAGGCAGGAGAATGGCATGATCCCAGGAGGCAGAGCTTATAGTGAGCTGAGATCACGCCACTGTACTCCAGCCTGGTGACAGTGCAAGACTCTGTCTCAAAAAATAAAAAAAATTAAAAAAAAAAATTCAGTAGGCAGAACTTTGCACTACGCACCTTGTCATTCACTTTGCATGGAAAGAGAAGAGACTCAAAGTAAGAATGTACTGACTCATGGTCAAATGGCTTGGCTACAGGTCAGGGGGATGGAAGGAGAAAATTTGGAAGACTGGAGAAAAAGACATCTGAGAAAAGGACATATAGGTGGACTTATGGGGATGTACAAAAAGTATGAAGATCTTTGTTTCACATGTTAACACCTACAAGAGGTATCTATCAACAACCAAGGAGAAAAGTGACTCAGCCAGATGATGTTAGCCAACCTCTTCCATTGGCCAGCTCAGTACTGGCACAATTGGTGAATAAATATAGTGACAAGGATGGAGGTTATGCAGAGGCCCAAACAGCAGAAGTCTCCACTGACTAAGTCTTATCTAGCTACTGCTGCTTCTGAATGTCAAAGTTGTCATCAAGACAGAGCAACACTGAGGCCTCAAGATAGCATCATCCCTCAAGGACACCAAGTAGCCACATGGTGGCAAGCTGAATGCACTGGATTCTTTCCATCACAGGAAGGGTAATGATTCATCTTGGCTGGAACTGATACTTATTCTGAGTATGGATTTATCTTTCCTACTTACATGGCCTCAACCAGCACCACTATCCAAGGGTTGACAGAATGTTTAATCCTCCAATATGGAATCCTACACATCCTTGCATTGTACTTTATAGCACTGTATAAAGGGAATGTACTTTGTAGCACTGCAGTTGCAGTGGTGGACACATGAAAATGCATTTCAGTGATCCTAATACAAATCACGAAATCACAACAACTAGAAGCTGTCAAACTGATGGAGTGATGGAACAGACTCCAGTAGCCCTTTGAAGCTGCAGGGATGGGATACAAGCATATATCCTAGATCAGTAACCATTATATGGTCCCATGTCGCTAATAGAAAGAGGACCATGGATTGAAGAAAGAGTAGCACTATTTACCGTCACCCCCAGGAATTCACTTGGGAAATTTCTGCTTCTTATCTCTGCAATTCAATGCTGTTACACAACGGAAGTAGACAGGAATGTGTTTGGCAGCCAAGGGATGTTTAAGTAGTCCCTTACTAAATTTTGATTGCTCAATTTAAAAAGACAAGTCTAGTAGCCATGGCTACTACACCCCCCTCTCCTATCACCAGGTAAGTGACCTAGACCAGTGGAGGTGCTAGCTGAGGGTAAGAATGTAAACCTGATAGTACCTGTATAGTAGGAAAGGCAGATGATCAGTTTAGGGTGAAAGACCAGTTGAAGAGCCAAGGAGCTATTTTTCCCTCCATGAATGTTACTTTCACGTTTCCCCAGCAAAAGAAACCAACCAAAATCCTGGAGGAGCTATTCCTAGATGGAAAGAAGTTATATGAAGTCATGGATCCAAATGACATGAGGGATGGACAGAGTAGTGTCTTCTGTGGTGTGTAGTCCAGGCCTCCCTGCAGAATGGAGACCCTCATTCCCCAGCTTCCTTAGAGTGCTGTCTGTTGAGGGCATATGACTAAGTTCATGCCCTAGGAATTGCCCTCAGGCCAAAAGAAACTGTGTAGTAGAAGTCACATCCTTGGGGCAAGAACTTAATTTGAATTCATATTGATTGTTGTCAACAGAATTTTAAGTACTGTATGGTATGTGCGTGAAAGGAAAAGAACATTTGAAATGAGCTAATGTAGAGTGGATCTATTGGGGAACTATTGGTGAATAATGATGATGTGGTCAGTGAGGTTCACTGAAGTTCACAGGGTTATTTGAACAGAAAACAACTGGGAGAGGTGGATTTGACACTCAGATTGGGGGACTGCACAAATAATAAGTTATCTGGGCTTCAGTTTTCTCATCTAGAACATGAGGGACTAAATGACTGCCAAGTATCTTCCAGCTTCTATATTCTGTAATGCTTAAGTACTCTGCAGAATATTAAAATGAACAGCACTGGGAGATAGCCCATGGGCTTGAAAAGTGAGGAAAAACAGAAACTGCCAGAGAGAGTTTGTTAAAACCTTAAAAACCTGCACATGGCTGTTTATAACAGTTGTATTCATAACTGCCAAAACTTGGAAGCAACCAAGATATCCTTCAGTAGGTTAATGGCTACACAAACTGTGGTACATCCAGACAAGGGAATATTATACAGCACTAAAAAGAAATCAGATATTAAGCTAAGAAAAGACATGGAGAAGACTTAAATGTATATTGCTAAGTAAAAGAAGCCAGCATGAGAAGGTTATATATTGCATGGTTCTAAGTGTATGACTATCTGGAAAAGGCAATACTATAATGTAGAAACATCAGTGGTTTCCAGCAATTTGAGGAAAGTAAGAGAGGGATACATAGGTGGAACACAGAGGATTTTTATGGTGATGAAACTATTCTGTATGATACTGGTGGATATCTGTCATTATACAGTTGTCAAAATTCACAGAACTTTACAACACAAAGAGTGAACGCTAATGTAAACTATGGACTTCAGTTATAATAATGTATCAATATGTATCAATTGTAACCAATATACCACATTAATACATGGTGTTAATAATAGGGTAAATTGTGTACAGAGGTAGGGATTGGGTGGAGAGTGGGATAGGAAGGTAGTGTTACATGGGAACTCTGTGTACTTTCTGCTCATTGGTTTCTGTAAACCTAAAATTGCTCTAAAAAACAAAGTCTACTAATTTTGAGAAATTTGATGAAAAATGAATATTCATGTAGTACCAAGGTATAAACTCAGAGATCACTGGCTAATTACAGAGGAAAATATACCATTACAATATAGACATCTGGCAATCACCACCTTAATTTAGGAATGAAAATTAGCATCACTGGCAGTGGGACAACCAGACATAAACTTCATAATGTGCCACTATTGGAAGTATACGACATCACCTTTGAATGATTCTGGCCAAAAAATTTAACCTGAATGTAACCAAGTCTTTAAATTTAACTTCAAACTTCAGAAAATTGAGGGGATAGACAAACAAACTTAATGAAACCATGAACAGTCCCACAAATCCAGAATGTGAGATATTCTACGTGACAACTAGCATGGTTCCTTTAAAATGTCAATACCAGCTGGGCACGGTGGCTCGCACCTGTAATCCCAGCACTTTGGGAGGCTGAGGAGGGTGCATCATGAGGTCAGGAGATCGAGACCATCCTGGCTAACATGGTGAAACCCCGTCTCTACTAAAAATACAAAAAATTAGCCGGGCGTAGTGGCGGGCGCCTGTAGTCCCAGCTACTTGGGAGGCTGAGGCAGGAGAATGGCGTGAACCCGGGAGGCGGAGCTTGCAGTGAGCCGAGATCCCGCCACTGCACTCCAGCCTGGGCGACAGAGCGAGACTCCGTCTCAAAAAAAAAAAAAAAATACAAAAAATTATCCAGCCGTGGTGGCAGGCACCTGTAATCCCAGCTACTCAGGAGGGTGAGGCAAGAGTATCTCTTGAACCCAGGAGGCAGAGGTTGCAGTGAGCCAAGATCACGCCACTGCACTCCAGCCTGGTGACAAAGCAAGATGCCGTCTCAAAAAAAAAAAAAAGTCTATGCCATTTAGCAAGGGATTAAGTATGGAGAAATCTACTGGATTACAAAATAAGAGACAAAAACAAAATGTAGTGTCCAGTTCTCGATTGGATCCTGGCTTTTAAAAATTGCTATAATTGGGAAAAAATTAAGAAAATGTGAATCATAGGGTGTAATTATGCAAACCTAGATGGTGTATATACGTATATTTTTGAGACAGAGTCTCACTGTGTCACCCAGGCTGGAGTGCTGGTGCGATCTCAGCTCACTGCAACCTCAGCCTCCCAGGTTCAAGCAATTCTCGTGCCTCAGCCTCCTGAGTAGCTGGGATTACAGGCACCTGCCACTGCACCAGGCTAATTATATTTTCAGTAGAGACGGGGTTTCACCATGTTGGCCAGGCTGGTCTCAAACTCCTGACCTCAGATGATCTGCCCACCTTGGCCTCCCAAAGCGCTGGGATTACAGGCATGAACCACTACATCTGGCCCTATATATTTTCACTTATTTATTTTTTATAAGGAAAATCAAATGTTCCAGCACCACTACTGAGCATCAGTCATTCCTCTACTTGAGCTGCAATGCCATATCAAGGGCCATATACTGTTTATCAAGTTTCTATATATGTTCCAGTTTAATCTTATGAGACCACCACAGTGTAGATGGTCGACTAGTTGACTGAAATGTGTTACATGGGGCATGACTGTTTATATTTGAAAATATTTGGGAGTTGAATAATTTTAAGGAATTACTGATAACTTGGTGTGAAAGGATAAGGGAATTGTGGTTATGCAAGAAAATGGCTTTAGTTTTTGAATATGCAGGCTTAAGTATACAGAGGCAAATTAGCATGATGCCTATAATTTACTTTTAATTCAAATTGAAAAATTACATAAAGAAAACTTGACAAAATATTAACAATTAATGGGATTTAGGTGGTGGTTATGTGGGTGCCCATTTTTTCTACCTTTCTGTAGGCTCCAATGTTACATAATTAAAAGGGAAAAAATGGGGCCACAAGAGAAGGTACAATTAAACATTAATGGGTCCCTTCTCCCAAGCGGTTAGTGCTGAGAGTGTGGAGTGTGTTCTCCAGGATCAGCACATATTTATTATCTTGAAAAATCCATTCCCCCGAAAAACATCCCATGAAAAAAACTTAAAAAAAAAAAGGTTTCTGTTTTAACACCGGTCACCCCTGCAAAACACTTTACAAAAAAATCCTTGTCTTCACTGCCACAGACATTTTCCTTTTCTTCTTGTATAAGATTACCCGGTGAGGCAGCCGAGAGCGACCCCCCCGCCCCCTCGCAGCTCCGAAGCAGCTTCAAGAAGGAACAGGATCCCGAGGCCTGGACGCTGGACCCTACACCGCCACCCTCGTCCCAGCCCTCTGCGGGTCGCAGTTCCTCGGCCGTGGAGTAGTTTGGGATTCCAGGTGATTTTGTGTTTGTGCGCTGGCCCAGGCTTCCGCCCCAGCCCTTACTCTCCTTTCACGGAAAGGTCGCAGCCTGTGGCCCTACCGGCAGACAGGTGCAGAGGTGAGCCCAGCGTCCCAGCCATCCCCTGTCCTCGCACCGCACATGACCAGGCCTGCTGGCCGGTCCTCTCTATCCCGGGCTACAGGAACCAGATCACCGGCGCTCCTTGGGAAACGCAGGATGTGGAATGTGGTTAAGACCCCATGAATTTTGATGTTATAAAAGACTAGCCAATACACACTAAGTGGTCTCGGTGTGATCCATCACTCCGCAAAAATGGAGTGGGCAACATGTTCATAAAAAAATTGGACAAATCTATTGATTATAAAGCATTGCATGATATATCTGCTTTTGGTAACATCTTTTTGTTGCAGAAAAAACCAGGTTCTTGTCATACCACCAGGAAAAGGCACGCAAACACTTGAAGGGTGAGGGGGAACGGAGTTTATTGGGTGGAAAGGAAAAAGCAAAAATAACTCTCAGCAAAGAGAGAAAGAGTCCTGCTAGCAGGTTTCCCGCCTCATAGATTAAATCCTAGGTCACTACATGGGAACAGGCCAGACTCCTCTCCACTGCACACCGCACAAACTTCCCAAGGCTCCACCCCGTAATCCCAGTGCACAGGTGGGCATTATTCAGAATCAGTGAGGAAAGGGCGGCTTCAACCAGGACCTGCAGTCCAGTTTATCAGCCTTCAGGCTGTTTTAGTCTTGAAGGTGGTGTTTTACCAGAGGACCCTTGGCTGCCTCCTGTCTCTATCACTTTCACATTAGGTGCTTTGTGGTGAAAACAGTTTCAAGGGTGATGGCATTGTACATTTTGAGACACAGAAGCAGCTGAAAGATCTATTCAAAAATGAAATGGATGCTTCTAAATGATAGCAAAGTCTTTGTTGGATTAAGTCTTGTAAACAATGAGAAGCAGAACTCAGAGTTAAAAAGTTCACCAATGTTTACAGGAAGATTTTTGGAGAAGACATGGATGGTAGGTGCCTTAAAGATCTCTTTGGCAAGTTGGGATCTGTCTTAAGTGTGATAGTAGTGGTTAATGAAAGTGGAAAACCCAAAGGTTTTGGATTTGTCAGCTTTGAAAGGCATAAAGATGCGCAGATGAGATGAACAGAAAGAAGCTCAATGGAAAACAAATTGATGTTGGTCAAGCTCAGAAAAAAAGTAGAATGGCAGATGGAACTTGTGTGCAAATTTGAAAAGATCAAGCAGTATAGGATCACCAGATAACAAAGTGTTAACATTTATGCAAAAAATCTTGATGGTATTGATGAATGTCTCTGGAAAGAACTTTCTCCACTTGGTACAATCACCAATGCAAAGGTTATGAAGGATGGTTGTCACAACAAAGGGTTTGATTTGTGTATGTTTCTCCTCTCCAGAGGAAGCAACTAAAGGACTTTCAGAAATGAATGGTAGCATTGAGGGCACTGAGCCATTGTATATAGTGTTAACTCCATGGGAAGAAAAGCAATGAAGAGCACCAGGCTCAGCTCATTAACCAGTGCAGTATGTGCAAAGAATGGCAAGTGTAAAAACTATGCTCAACCTGGGAATCAGTTCCTATCAGCCAGCACCTTCTTCAATTGACTTCATGGCAGTTATCCCACAGACTGAGAGCCATGCTGCAAAGTATTCTCCTAGCCAAACTGCTCAACTAAGTTCAAATCCTCCCTAAATTGCTCAGGGTGCCAGACCTCATCCATTGAAAAATATGCCCAAGCCGCTCCTAGCTCACTACATTTAGTAGTAAGAGACCAGCTTCTTCATAGCTTCCATGAGTCATGTCAACACAGCTGTTGTAACCCATCGAAACAGACAATAGGAGCACATCCTGCAGTTGCCGCTACTGCTACTACAGATACTCCTGCTTTTTGTACCATTTCACAGTATAAATATGCTATGGAAGCTCACAATCCTCAATGGCATTTTCATGCACAGCCCCAGGTTACCTTGAAGCAGCCTGCTGTTCATGTAGAAGGTCAAGAACCTTTGACTTCCATGATGGCATCTGCTCCTCCTCAAAAGCAAAAGGAAACGAGTGAATGGCTGTTTCCTCTTCTTCAAGCCATGCCCTAGTCGTGCTGGTAAAATCATTGGTATGTTGTTGGAGATTGGTAATTTGGAACTCCTTCATATGCTTGAATCTCCAGAGCCTCTCTATACTAAGGTTGACAAAGGTATAGCTGTACTACAAGACCACCAAGCTAAAGAGGCTGCCCAGAAAGCAGTTAATGGTGCCACTGGTGTTCCAATTGTTTAAAACTGATCAGGGACCACAGAAAGAAACTTGAGCATCACTGAAGAAAAATATCTCAATATCAAAAACCTTAAATACTATGGAAAAAATTTGTAAAGTATAAAATAAATTTAAAAAGGAAACTTTGAACTTTACATACCAAGCAGATGTCAGATCTAACAAATGCAATGATAGTCCTAGATTACTTATTGATTTGAAAAGAAAAAATCCTCCCAAAATAATAAAATATAGAAACACTGTAATGCTTTTCAGACTCTGTGATAAATAATTTTCAGCAAAGTATAAAAATTTAAAGCATTCCTTTAATTTTGTAATTCATTAGTGTGGAATAGCTAAGAATGTCACTTCTGTTTTAAGTAACAGAATTGATAACTGAGCAAGGAAAGGTAATTTGGATTATAAAATTTTGCTTTAATAAAAATTCCTTAAACAGTGAAAAAAATAGGCAAAGATACAAAAAAAGTTTATAAGAAACAACAATCTTGTATTTATTTGTTTTTTATTTTATTTTATTTTATTTTATTTTTTTGAGATGGAGTCTCACTCTGTCACCCAGGCTGGAGTGCAGTGGTGTGATCTTGGCTCACTGCAACCTCTGCCTCCCAGGTTCAAGTGATTCTTCTGCCTCAGCCTCCCGAGTAGCCGGGACTACAGACACCTACCACCATGCCTGGCTAGTTTTTTGTATTTTTAGTAGAGACAGAGTTTCACCATGTTAGCCAGGATGGTCTCCTTCTCCTGACCTCCTGATCCACCCGCCTTGGCCTCCCAAAGTGCTGGGATGGTGTGAGCCACTGTGCCCAGCCTTATTTGTTTAAATACTATAAACACTAATATCATACACATGGTTAACTGGTTGTAATTTTTAAATTATATTAATAAATTTTTATAAAAACTTTTTATAAATAAAAAACTTAAAATTTCAAATAAATAACAACATCTGCCACACTACCTTAAAACGGCGACTATTTCAGTATTATAAACATATATCACAGACACTTAGAGAAAGTTCAATAAATAAAGAATAAAAAGAAAAGGTACAACAATTTTCCTCCTAATCAAAAACACAATTCCTCATTTTGAAAATTATTTCTTATCTCTCTTTTATTAAAATAAACTTTCTACTTTGAAATCTAATCCTCTTGTGAATGTAAAATACTATCTTGTAAATATATATATATACACATATATTTTATTATTTTTTTTTTTTTGAGACAGAGTCTTGCTCTGTCTCCCAGGCTGGAGTGCAGTGGTGTGATCTCAGCTCACTGCAACCTCTGCCTCCTGGGTTCAAGCGATTCTCCTGCCTCAGCCGTCTGAGTAGCTGGGATTACAGGTGCATGCCACCACATCTGACAAATTTTTTGTATTTTTAGTAGAGACGGGCTTTCACTATGTTGGTCAGATTGGTCTCGAACTCCTGACCTCGTGATCTGCCCGCATTGGCCTCCCAAAGTGCTGGGATTACAGGCATGAGCCACAACACCCTGCCTATATTTTTATTTTTTTATAAGTGACAATGAGATGTCCTCATGATTTAAATAGTAGTCAAAACACTGGCACAGTTTAAATTTTTAGAATTTGAGTACTAGAATTACAATATTTGAAAATGGAGTCTGTACTTTGTTGTAAAACTATAAAGAGAAAATGTCACTAAAACAGTAGCTATTTTATCTTTTCCCAGAGTTATTCTCCCAGAGTGTATTTTCTAAGAGTTATTTCCCAGACGGTTTTAGAACTTTTGGCAGTTTCGGTGATATATTCTGTAAACGCCCTTAGTCTTAATAGGGATAACACATAGTTTTGATTGCCTTAAATTTTAATTGCTTCACTTGGCAAATGTATGTGTAAATTTCATATTCTGTGGTATTTTAATATCTTGCTTGTGAGAAGAGGAAAAAGAGGAATGAAAGTAATATTCAGTCCTTGCATTGAGCTTTTGCCAAAGAAGTCTAAAGAATTTCTAAAATGCCATTCAATAAGGCCATTTTAGAAGTGTTTATATGACTCTTATAACTTTAAAATAAAGAGTCTTGAAGTTAACTAAAACTCACTTTGCTTGTGATGGGTTCTACATTAACATGGCAGATTTAATCAGCCAGAATTAAAAGGTAATTTTATATTACTAAGGAGAAGAAACTGCCACATGACAGTAGTCTCCAAGTCTTTCATTTTTGGAGGCTGCCTTTTATGTCTAGATTTTAAAATACTAATTGAAAAAAATATAGTTTACTTCCATTTGTGATTTAATTTTATTTCTATAAATAAAAATATAGATAGTGTTTCAACTAAAAACCGCTAAACCAGACTTTCATTTTAAGGGCATGGCAGAAATAAGGAAAGACTAACTTGGTTCTATTACTTAACATATTATTTATTCAGGTAGTCAACAAAACCAGAATTTAAAATCTATTCGGTTAACCCATTTAAAGTTGATGTGTTTTACTCCCTTTTTTTTCTTTTTGTAGTGATCTTTTTAACTGAATTACTGGATATCATAGGGAGTTCTACTCCTCCTATTTGGAAACTTAGGCTATCTTACCAAGTTCAACATTCAGTTTTTCTTTCTGCCGTTAAGTTTGTTTAATTTTATATTAAGCTCAGTTTGCATTATGATATCAAATTCAGCCTGAGGGATTACTTTAAACTTTCCTAGGGTATTTACAGATTTAATTTGTTCTTACAGTATGTAAATACCAAGACAGCATTCCATTTAATATTATTTTTATTAAATTAACTTTGGAGTAAAAAGTCCAAGAAAAGCCCTGTACCGAAATCCTGGATTTTCTACATATTTCTACTTTAAAATTCTTCTGTCATGTGAAATAATTCATTAAAAGAAGTAGGCAGATGATGACAGGTAAACTTTTTAATGATGTTCTAATGCTGGCAATTGCAGTATTATTTTGCTTGGATCATAATGGCGTGTGAGCATTTTAAGCCCCAGAATGCCCATAAGTAGAGCTCCATTTGGAGCTGTGATCAAGATGGCTAAAAATGCTACTGTCATCACATCCTTTGCATATGGTTCCAAGTGGGGTGCGGAGACTGTTGCTGTTTCTAGAGCCAGAGGACCTAACACAGCCTACATTTAGGGGTAAAAATGGGGCATAAAGAAAAATATTAAACTGAGTTAATATATAATGTAAATGGCTCTGTTAAAATAAACAAAATCTAGTACTAGACTATTAGAAAAAAAAAGTACTCAGTAATTTTCATAAGTTACTCATCAGTTCCATGTTCTTCCTAGCAAATATATGTGGAGGAAGAGTACAATAGTGACAAATCAGCATGCAAACATTTTTCGGCTGATTTTGCACTCTTGTCCTCTCAGTGTTCCTCTATTCAAATATCTCTTTTGAGTGTTGCCCTCATAACACCAGGAGTTCTAACGAAACTGGTTTTGCTTAGTTGCCTTTATCGTGTACCAGTGGATTTTGACTACAAGAAGACAAAATAAAATATTAAGTTTTCTTCTGGTTCTCTAGGATTTGTTGCCCTTCTTCTCATTGTTGTCCTTATTCAGGGGGCACTGGGTTATAGCAGAACTGACAGCAGGCTTGGAATCTAGCAAACTGGGTTTGAATTCTATTTTTGCTTCAACCAGGCTAGTGACCTTGTACAAATGACTCACACTCTCTAACCTTCTACTTACTTACGTGTAAAACGAAGAACAAAATACTTATCTTACTGGACGGTTGTGAAAATTAAATATTAGGATGTGAAGAATACCTGGCACAGAGTAGGTATTCAGATAGTAGTAAGTTTCTTTCTCCTTCACTCCTCATCCCCTGCCAGGTCAGAGATTGAGTTCCTTTGAAGTTTTTGTTTTAGAATGACTCTACTGGGTCACAGGTTTTTTTCCCTAGTTACCTTCTACCACATTATTTTTAATAACATAAAGCAAATTTCTTGCTAACTCTCTTTCCTTGTGTTTAATAACTAGGCATGAAATTGCCTTAAAATTTGGGGGAATTAAATACCAATATATAACATATTTTCGATGGAGTTGCAAAGTAACAACATAATAGTAGAAACATTACCTCTGATATGGAACATTATGGCAAAAGAACCCCTCAATTTAAGATCAATTTCTATATCCTAAATCAATAATTTAAAATGGTATTATTTTTATATCATAACTTTCAATGTACTGAACATGATCCAGTATGCTGGAGGATGCTAGGGAGAAAAAAATAATCATGCAGAAAACCACCTTGAAAGAATCTTACAGTTTAGAAGAGGATTTGAACATAAAAGAACTGCCAACAGAAAAAACAAAAACAAAAACCAAACCCATTGACTTTTAAGAGATGATGACGATAATGGTGAAACTAGAAATAATATTTTTATAGTTATATGGCATTCATCATATGTCAGGTATCATTCTTAAAGCTTTCCATTTATCAATTCATTTAATTCTTATGACAACCTTATTATGTGAGGACTTTTATTAGATGATAAATGATTTCCTCCTAGTGACTGAGATTTAATATTATTTCTTTAAAAAAATCCAATTGCCAAGCTGATCTTACATTTGTAAATTAAATTATTTATTTACTCTCCTAATAGCTTCTATTTTTCCAGTCTAATTTTTATCAGTAACTCAAAACTAAGGAACAAGAGAAAGATGATCCTTAGCCAATTTTATTTTAGCAGCAGAGAACGGCGGAAGAGGATAAAGGTGAAAATAATTTAAAATTGAAATTTAAATATTTGTTGATCGTATTTACTTGTGACATTATTGTTATCTATTATTGCTGTTGTGACTCTACTTGTATAAATAATTAATTTTTTATGTCTTGCCAGTTCCTGGAACCAGCCTGATATTCTTTTTGTAGAAGCTAGCCTGGAGCCAGCAGACAGGAATAGGCAGAAGCAGAATAATACTGCAGGACTCGAGTGAGTGGTCTCTTTCCTCATACCAGCTTTTCTTTTTTCCCTGCTTTATGAAAATTATGAAATAATGAAACAAAATTGCAAGAGTATTGTTGGAAGGAGAGAGAACAGATACTCCTTTTGCAGATTTATTATTCCCTAGAGTAGACATTAAAAATAAAAAGTTATTATTTATATTTCTTGAAGGTAAGATAAAATAACAGCATTGTTTTTTAACTGAGCACCACCATATGCCAGAGAGAGTGCTAAGCACTTTACATGGATTATCTCATTGAATCCTGACAACACTGCTAAGAAACAGATACAGTCATAGACTTCATTGTAAGATGAGAACACTGAAGGACTGAGAGACTAGAAAATAATTTTCCTGAGGTTATAGGCAAGTAACATGGTATTCAAAACAGGTAGTCTGGCCCTATGAACCTGCTTTTCTAACATGATAATAGAGGTTTTTTTGCATGAAAATTTAGGAGCTTCTGTTTTGGAATAACAACTAAGAAAAGAGTCACAGGAAATTAAGGTATATTATGCTGCCAAGTTAAACAGTCTAACAAGAAGTAGCAATATATTTTAGTAGGAGGAGAATATCCTTGAATAACAGGGCAAAATTACAAGGTTTCCCTTTCCGTTCATTCATCCTTGCAGGCATGCAATACGTATTTGCCTCCTGCATGTCAGGCACTGTGTTAAGTGCCAGGGAGAAATAATGAAAAACAACGGCAACAACCAGACACTGTCCCTGTCCTTACGTAGTCTATCAAGGGGGCGGGGGCAGGGATTTAGCCATTAACCAAATAGTATACAAATAAATGTGTAATTAAAAAAATATATGTGCATTTGTGTGATGGAGTGAGTGGCAAGGTAGGAAAAGTATTTTTTAAAAAAATCAATGTGTCTCTATTTTACTTTACTTTTTTTTGTGACAGGGTCTCACTTTGTCACCCAAGCTGGAGTGAAATGGCGTGACCTCAGCTCACTGCAGCCTCAACCTCCTGAGTTCAAGCAATCCTCCTTCCTCAGCCCCCAAGTAGCTGTGACTACAGGTGCGTGCCACCACACCTGACTAATTTTTTTGTATTTTTTGTAGAGACGGGGGTTTTACCATGTTGCCCAGGCTGGTCTTGAACTCCTGAGCTCAAGTGATCTGCCTGCCTCAGCCTCCCGAAGTGCTAGGATTACAGGCATGAGCCACCATGCCTGGCCTGTGTCTCTACTTTTTAAAATCATAACATTTAGCTTTGTTATATTCAGCAAAATATAAAAACTCCAATTTTCAGATATATTCTTATTATATATTTTAGGAAAATAAAAAACATATTTTCATAAACTTAGGAAGTACTTATTGAAAGAATACTTTTTGATTTCAAAATAATTGCTTTTAAAACTGAGATTTCAAAAGGTTACATTGGCTGGGCCCAGTGGGTTATGCTTGTAATCCCAGAACTTTAGGAGGCTGAGGCAGGAAGATCACTTGAACCTAGGAGTTCAAGATCAGCCTGGGCAACATAGCAAGACCTCCTCTTTACAAAAAAATCAGAAAGAAAAGGCCAGGTGCAGTGGCTCATGCCTGTAATCCCAGCACTTTGGGAGGCTGAGGTGGGCAGATCACTTGAGGTCAGGAGTTTGAGACTAGCCTGGCCAACATGATGAGACCCCATATCTACTAAAAATACAAAAATTAGCTGGGTGTGGTGGTGTGCACCTGTAATCCCAGCTACTGAGGAGGCTGAGGCAGGAGAATCGCTTGAACCTGGGAGGTGGAGGTTGCATTGAGCTGAGATCATGCCACTGCACTCCAGCCTGGGCAACAGAGTAAGACTGTCTCAAAAAAAAAAAAAAATCTGAAAAAAAGCAGTTGGGTATGGTGGCAGGTGACTGTGATCCTAGCTACTCAGGAGGCTGATGTGAGAGGATTGTTTGAGCCCAGGAGGTTGAGGCTGCAGTGAGCCGTGATCATGCCACTGCACTACAGTTTGGGTGACAGAGTGAGACCTGGTCTCAAAATGAAAATAAAAATAAAAATAGAAAAAGGTTACATTGAGTTTCTTTGTTTGTTTTTGTTTATTTATTTATTTTTTTGAGATTGAATCTTGCTCTGTCACCCAGACTGGAGTACAGTGGTGCCATCTCAGCTTACTGCAACCTCCGCCTCCTGGGTTCAAGTGATTCTCCCATCTCAGCCTCCTGAGTAGCTGGGACTGGTTACGTTAATTTTAATGAATAGTTATGATCAATCAAACATTTAAAAAGTAAGGACAATAGCTCATATTTTGTGATTGGAGTAACATTTTTCATTTTAAATTTTAAAAGCATCAAAACAAAAGCATTAAGCAATAGGCTTAATATGTTCTTACCTGTACTGTAGCTTTGGGCATCCATGCTAAAGCAATAAATATTTTCTCCTTAAAACTAAAACCAGCAAAGCACATCAATAGATATGTGGTTAAAATTCGAACACATAATGCCAAACTCAAGAGTGGCAACAGATATGCCTACAACAGATGAAAACAAACATAAATAACAAAATATTTGTGAAGAAGTGTTCTTTATGCCCAGGAATATGATTTCTAAAACTTTCGAAAGCATTTTAAGGCTATTGTCTCTTCATGTGTTTAATTTTTACATAAAATAATGATAATAAAAAATGAATATGATGGAGGATTCTCTGTAAAGTGCAAGACAGTATCTGATGGTGGAGGTTCCATGAAAAATAAGACAGATGACATTTATACAATTCTGAACTAATAGACTTTTTTTGAATACTTTTATTATTATTAATAATAATTTACTTTTTGAGAAGGATTCTTGCTCTGTCGCCCAGGCTGGAGTGCAGTGGTACAATCTCAGCTCACTGCAACTTCCGACTCCCGGGTTCACGTGATTCTCCTGCCTCAGCCTCCTGAGTAGCTGGGATTATAGGCGCGCACTACCACACCTGGCTAATTTTTGTATTTCTAGGAGAGATGGGGTTCCCCATGTTAGCCAGGCAGGTCTTGAACTCCTAACTTCAAGAAGTGTGCCCGCTTCGGCCCCCCAAAGTGCTAAGTTTACAGGCATGAGCCACCATACCCAGCCAATAGTTTTAAATGAAAGTACTCAAAAAGTGCTGATCGTATCAAATATGTTCCCTCAGGAAAGAAATCTTATATTTATTTCCTTAGATAACTCAGGGAAGATATTCAGGGCTGTTCCTGGTTTAAAAAAGAAAGAGCACACAGTGTAAAGGAAGAGCAATATGAAAATATGACACTGTATCAACATGTGTTTCTGAAGAAGGTCCTTGTAGCCATTCAAAGATATATTGTAAATAAAAATAAATGCATTTATAATTTTCTTAAATATTTTTGAATTTCATATTTTTTGTGCTCTATTTATTCTTACCAACAATATTTGATTCAAGCGATGAAACAGATACTTCTGCTCCAACTAAACCAAAAAGAAGTGGTTGAAAAATATCCCATACATTTGTAATAATCTTTTGGACTTTCATCTATAGAAAAGAGAAATACATTTATAATTATTTTGGCACATAAATATATTTCAGAAAGTTAAGTTCTCCCTCACCTTTTTTTTTTTCACTTTTTAAGTATTTTAGAGATGGGGTCTTGTTCTGTTGCCCAGGCTGGAGTGTAGTGGCATAATCTTAGCTCACTGTAGCCTTGAACTCCTGGGCTCAAGTGATCCTCTCGCAGTCTCCCAAGTAGAACTACAGGTGTGTACCTCCATGCTGGGCTAATTTTTAAATTGTTTATAGAGACGGGGTCTCGCTATATTGCCCAGGATGGTCTAGAACTCCTGTCTTCAAGTGGACTCTGGCTGTGGCCTCCCAAAGCACTGGCATTATAGGCATGAGCCACCATGCCTGGCCTAAAGTCACTTAACATTTAATAAATTTAATACACTTTATTTTAATAAAAATGTTAAACTTAATTAATAAAAACTGAGCACTTCAATAGTTTTACTTAAACACTTAGGTAGAATTTGATTAAAAGAAACTTACAAAGCAATAAAATAATACTATTTGGCCATTTTGTCACAGAATAAGTGATGTCCTTAGGGTTCTAGCCATGTTTCGTATGAGTTCTAGATTTTGTCTCTAAGTTAACTGAACAGAGATAGAACTACATCATGCCTGATGAGAACATACCCAGTTCATGCAAACATTTGGGATCTCAGAAGGAGGTTGGGAAGCCTTCCACTAACAACCATCCTGGAACTCAATCCCATTAAAGTGAATCCTGATATATATAGCATATACTACTAGGAAAAACAATTTGGAAGTCTACTAGGCCTGCTTCCAAAGAACCCGTGTTGAATACTTTAAAGTTACTTTTTCCTCAAAACAAAAGAAAACATATATTAGATTCTCATTTAGCTGCCTATCCGGCTTCCCTTTCTGAAAACGAATGCCTCCCAGTACTACTTCCCCAATTAAAAGGTTACAGGAAAGGCCCCCTATTGGCCTACATTACTCTGGCTCTTCTCCAGGAATTTGGATGAAGAGATTTCAGTCTCAGTCTGGGTTTAATTTTTTTTTTAAACAGAAGATACATAAGAACTTTGATGTCTCTTCCTTGAGGCATAAACTATCTTTATAACTATTTCCCTTATGACTGTGTTTTCTGATCCCCACTTATTATAGTTTAAAAAAAGAAAAACAAAGAAAAACGATGTTACTACTCTTTACAGCATAATTATCCTGTTTGTTACTTTTAATCTTTAAAACTTGTTTTAGTTCTGTGTCTTTTACCATTTAAAAAAATTCTAGCAGTTTTAATTTTATTTATTGATTTGCATTTCATTCATTTCTTTTATAATTATGATTATATAAGAATACTAAGCAAAATGCCACTATGATTTTTGATTAGGGAATTTCTCAAGCTGATTCTAAAATTTATCTAAGAAAGAATATGTGTAGGAACAGCCAAAAAATACTTTAAAAAGAAGTAAAATCTATATTAGATTTTGACACATAAAAGTGCAGTGATTTAAAACAGTGGTGTTGGCATAGAAATAGAGAAGTAGGATTAAATAGACTTCAGAATTAATATATATGGGAGAATTTAGTTCATGTTAAAAAACTGAATTATTAATGAATTGGTCAATAAATAATTTGGCAAAAAATGACTGTCTAGTTTATGTGCATATATACGTATGTACATATTCATCACATGCAAGTATATATGTGTGTCTGAATATGTATGTATATTTATGTGTGTGTGTATATATATATATACATATATATATACACACACACATCAGGCATGATGTAGTTCTATCTCTGTTCAGTTAACTTACAAACTGTATGTGTGTGTGTGTATATATATATAGTTTGTAAGATACACATATGTATATATGTATAACCTTACCTCACAAAATTCACAAAGATAAATTCCAGATAGAATAAAAGACTAAATGAAAGAACAAATTAAACAAACAAAAACTACCAAAATATTAAATGATAATACACAAAATAGTATATCTTTGTAATGTTTATATGTTATAATCTTCAGTGAGAGAGTCCTTCTTAAATGAGATGCAGAATCCAAAATCAAAAAAGGAAAACCCAATAGGTTTGGTCGTAGGAAATTTTACTTTCATACACCAGACACCATAAACAAGCAAAATTATATGCAATATATACATAACAAAGGATCAGTAGCCCTAACACTAAGAGAAACTATAAATTAGAAACAAAAAAATAAATAACCCAATAAAAATGGTCAAAGAAGATCATAGGTATTTTAAAAAGAATATATGAAGAGAAGCTTACTATACTACTAATCAGAGAAATGTAAATAAAGAATAACAACATCACATAATTGTTAGAAACTATAAGAATTGGATGGTGAGGTCATTTAATAGTAAAAAGAATAGAACTAGTGATAATATCAAGTGCTGTTGATGAGTTAAGGTATTAGATATTGTTGTGCACTGTTGGCAGAGTGTAAATAACCAAAATTTTTGAAGGGATAATTTAGCAGTGTCCATCAAAATAAAACACAGATCATTTCCAGCCAGGTGTGGTAGCTCATGCTTGTAATCCTAGCACTTTGCATTGTCAAGTTGGGAGGATCCCTTGAGCTCAGGATTTTGAGACCAGCCTGGGCAACATAGATAGAGACTCTGTCTCAAAAAAAAAAAATCATTTCTAGGACTCTATTCCTACAGATGTACCTGTAATCCCAACACTTTGGGAGGCCGAGGCAGGAGTATCACCTGAGGTCAGGAGTTCAAGACCTGCCTGGCCAACATGGTGAAATCCCGTCTCTACTAAAAATACAAAAATTTGCTGGGCGTGGTGGTGCGCGCCTGTAATCCCAGCTACTAGGGAGGCTGAAAAAGAAGAATCACTTGAATCCAGGAGGTGGAGGTTGCAGTGAGCCAAGGTTATGCTACTGCACTCCAGCCTGGGTGACAAGAGTGAAACTGTCTCAAAAAAAAAAAAGACATGAACAACACTGTTTATGACAGCACTGTTTGTAAATAACAAAAAGTGGAAACGATCTTAATGTCTACAAATAGAATACTGGTTACTTAAAAAAATGTAAAGGGGTTCGATATTTGACAGTGGTGGGGAATAAAGAAATCTTTTACATTTTATTCTATATGTTTTATTCTTTTACAAGCATTTCTATTTTTATTATTTGTTTGTTTATTATTATTTTGTGTGTGTGTGATGGAGTTTTGCACTTGTTGCCCAGGCTGGAGTGCAATGGCATGATCTCAGCTCACTGCAGCCTCCGCCTCCTGGGTTCAAGCAATTCTCCTGCCTCAGCCTCCTGAGTAGCTGGAATTATAGGTGCCCACCACCACGCCACCATGCCCAGCTAATTTTTGTATTTTTAGTAGAGATGGGGTTTCACTATGTTGGCCACGCTGGTCTCAAACTCCTGACCCCAGGTGATCTGTCCACCTCGACCTCCCAAAGTTCTGGGATTACAGGCATGAGCCACCGTGCCTGGCCTTTTACAAACATTCTTCATGGATTAATTGTATAATTAAAATTTCA
The DNA here is from genome assembly GCF_000001405.40 of Homo sapiens. Taxonomy (NCBI): domain Eukaryota; kingdom Metazoa; phylum Chordata; class Mammalia; order Primates; family Hominidae; genus Homo; species Homo sapiens. Next base: position 402,464 of record NT_187383.1, read on the forward strand.
ATGAATAAAATAATTAGATTGATATAAGTAATATAATAATATTATATAAAACTTGGGAAAAAGAGAAACCTGATGTGATTAACTCAACTTCTGATTCCATATTAGTATATATCCAGCTGCTTTTCCTAAATATTTTATTTCCTCAATTGATTCATACACTTTCTTGAGGATAGCAAATCTTTTGGAATATTTTCCAACCAGAATGAGGGGATTTCCTAAATATATGTAAAAAATTCAGTTGTCTTAGCTTTTAAAATATAGCATATTAAAAATATTCACCTTTTCTTGGGACCATTTTGCCCCTGCAATGAAACTCAACACTAGTGTGCATAATCCTCCAGATCCATGTAAACCAATACGTTGGCTGCCTAAGACAGCAGAAACACACGTAGTCAAAACAAGGAATCCTCTCTTCAATGTAAGTTTTTTCTAGAATTAGATAGATATTTAGAAATTAGTTTATATTAAATATATAATACAAGATTTGACATTATCTATTATATATGTTTGACCTTTTGATATTATGTCTTTAAATGTTATATTAAATGTCTAAAATTTTGATTTTCTTTCTCACCATACATTTTAGTAGACTTACTACCAAGTAACAAAATTTCCAATTAGTAACGTTTCATCTTCTGCCACATCTCTGATACTAGTATCAGTAAAATGGTTTAAGTATTACTTTAAGTGAAGAAGAAAAGAGACCCATAAAATCTCCAGTTTCATATAACATATCCAATGAATTCTTAAAAAATATTTGAATTACTCTTTGGTCAATATGCTACAGCTAAATTTGGATGGAAATTACAGAAATACAAAAGTAATGTCATGTTTTCCTTTAAGGCAGGAAATGGCTAAGTTTGAGTGTTGCCTTTGTCAAAGGATAGCAGGAGTGAATTTCAGTCAGAAAATATGCAGAAATAAATGGGAACCTATCTCCCCCTAAAATGTTTAAGGGGAAATTATCAAACATCAATAGGCAATTTAGTAGAGAAAGGGAAAGTATAATTCAGAGGGATACTCTGCATCAAGTATATTTTTTGACATTCCTTATTTGCCAAATCAGGAAGCAGAGACTTTAATCAAAGCCATTGACCTGTATCAATCACTGCTGTGCTCAGTTTTAAATACAGAGTAGGCATTGGAGGCTAGTTTTAGAAAAATAGAGTTAAGTATTAAATTTCATGGATCTTACCAAAGTTTAATATTTTGAAAAAAATGTCTAATACTATACTTCTATAAAATAGATTTTGTATTTACTTGGTCTTCACTTGGAAAATATCGAACAAAAAATCCCAAAACAATTCCTGCCAGCAGACTAATGCATACGTTCCTTATAGAGACTATGGCATTATTAAGCATACCACCTGCAGGGGCACACAATAAAAAAAAAATTCACAAAGAAATATTTTCACATACACTACACATCAGAAAAGCAAATCTAGGTGGTTCATGAAGAAAAGTAAGCATTTGATAGAACAAATATGTGCAAATGGTCTTTTTATAGTGACATGTATGAAAACACATAGATCTATTTAGTACATTAACTATATACTCTCAAATAATTTAATATATACACACAACTCAGAAATGTTCATTATATAAATAGGCCAGAAAACAAAGACTTAACAAGCACAAGATGCTCCCCTTACATAGCCAATTTAAAAGACAGATTGAGGTAGTCCAGGCGCAGTGGTTCATGTCTGTAATCCCAGCGCTTTGGGAGGCTGAGGAGGGTGGATTACATGAGGTCAGGAGTTCAAGACCAGCCTGGCCAACATAATGAAACCCCATCTCTACTAAAAATACAAAAATTAGGTCGGCATGGTGGCACACAACTGTGGTCCCAGGTACTCAGGAGGCTGAGGGAGGAGAATCACTTGAACCCGGGAGGCAGAGGTTGCAGTGAGCTGAGATCGTGCCACCACACTCCAGACTGGGTGAAAGACTGAGGCTACACCTCCAAAAGAAAAAAAAAAAAGACTAAGTGAGGTACAAGAATGGAGAGAGACCGAAACACCTGTGGCACTTAGCATATGGCTGGTAAGGGCTATATTAACAATTCTTCTTTGACGCACTATATGAAAAAAAACAAATGATTTTAACATGAAAAGAACAATGTAATAACAACATAAAAAATTTTGTTCCAGGGTCAGTCCTAGAAACATTCAAGGGTCATTTAAGATTTCAGTGTATTTAAGTTTCTGCTTTTGTTGAAGAAAAAAGAAAAAAAAATACAAAATATTCCAGTATATTTTATATTAATTAATATTAATATATCCATACTTGTAGTTCATTGTAATAAGTAAAAAGCAAAAAATAAAAAAACAGAATGAGTCACACAAATAGTTCAGTTAAGCTCTGGGTAGTGGATTCAATATAGTACGTAAGTATATTTTTAGATATATTTTCTACTAAATATAACAGGCAGTACATGGTGGGCTCACACCTTTAATCCTAGCACTTTGGGAGGCCAAGGCAGAAGGATTGCTTGAGCCCAAGAGTTGAGACCAACTTGGGCAACAGAGTGAAACCCCATCTTCACAAGAAAATAAGAAATTAGCCTGGTATGTGGTGTGTGCCTATAGTCCAAGTACTCAGTAGCCTGAGGGAGGAGGTCCCTTGAGATCAGGAGTTCGAGGCTGCACTCTAGCCTGGCTGACAGAGCAAGATCCTGTCTCAAGAAAATAAAATATAATAAAAATAAAAAATAATATAAACAGAGTGATGTCAGCCAGATGGTGGAATGGGAAGCTCCAAACCTTGATTCTCCATAAAGATACCAACTGAAAAACAATATATGGTCTAAAAGCCTTTATGGAGTTCCATAAACCATTAAGAAGTTGTAGTAGTACAGACAAGTGCAAAGCCAAGAATAGTGGCATTGAACAGATAAGAAAAGCTGTTGCATTATACTGATGATACCCCTTCCCCAAGCTCAAACAGGTTGGTTTGGCTGGGAAGCACTCAACTTGCAGCTTCTCCGTTAGCAGGGAAAGAGAAGACTGAAACGGAATAGTTTTATGAGGTTACCTGAAGCTCTCTCACTCTCTCTAACTTGACGCCCAACTGGCATACTTTGGATGCATGGGAGCCACTGGGAATAAAGGAGAGGTCAGAGATGATGCAGCACCAGGGAACCTGCAGTACCACAGACAGATACCAGAAGGAGCAACAGCTCCAGAAAAAGAAACTGGCAAACCTCTACTTGGGATGTTGCAATGTATAAACCCAAAGAAGATGCATTCCCAGAAAGAGTTTGAGAGGCTGCTGGAACCTATAGCCATGCTGATTCAGGTATGAAGGTCTTCCGTATGAAGCCAGCTGATAAAAACTGGGAGAAGTGGCAGTTTTTTCAAACGCCCAAATATTGGCAAAAATAAATAAAAAATAAAAAATAACAAGACATAAGAAGAAAGAGAGAAACCTGATGACTAAATTAAAGGAGCAAAATAAATCTCCAGAAACCAACCCTAAAGAAATAGGTAAATGAGTTACCTGACAAAGAATACAAATTAACTCTCTTAATGAAGCCCAGTGACAACAGAAATAGACAACTAAGTGAAAGCAGGAAATAATTCATGAACAAAATGAAAATATTAACCGAGATAGAAACTTAAAAAAAAAAAAAAAACAAAAAGGAACCATACAGAAACTCTGGAGCTAAGTCATACAATAGCTCAATTGAAAAATTCACTATCGGAAATCACCAATAGACTGTGTAACTGCCCAATGGGTTCACCTCGTGCCCTGCTTAGACAGAGCTGATTTATCAAGACAGGGGAATTGCAATGGAGAAAGAGTAATTCAGGCAGAGCTGGCTGTGCGGGAGATCAGAGTTTTATTATTACTCAAATCAGTCTCCCTGAGCATTCGGGGATCAGAACTTTTAAAGATAATTTGGCAGGTAGGGGCTTGGGAAGTGGGAACTGCTTATTCATCAGGCTGGAGATGAAATCATACGGGGTTGAAGTGATGATGTTTTCTTGCTGTCTTCTGTTTGTGGGTGGGGTGGCAGAACTAGTTGAGCCATATTACCAGTCTGGGTGGTGTCAGCTGGTTCATCCAGTGCAGGGTCTGCAAAATATCTCAAGCACTGATTTTAGGTTTTACAATAGTGATGTTATCCCCAGGAGCAATTTGGAGAGGTTCAGACTCTTGGAGCCAGAGGCTGCATAACCCCTCAACTGTAATTTCTAATGTTATAGCTAATTTGTTTATCCCGCAAAGGCAGACTGGTTCCAGGCAAGAAGGGGATCTTTTTGGGAAATGGCTATTATCAACTTGGTTTGAGAGTCAAACCATGAACTGAATACCTTACCAAAATTAGTTCATCCTACTGCCAGGAATGAACAAGGGCAGTTTAAATGCTAGAAGCAAGATGCAGTTGATTAAGTCTGATATCTTTTGCTGTCATAATTTCTTCAGTTATAATTTTTGCAAAGGCAGTTTCAATAACATCAAGCAGAAGAAAGAATCAGTGAAACGGAAGACTAGTCATTTGAAATTATGGAGTCAGAGGAGCAAAAGGGAAAAGGAGTGAAGAGTGAAGACAGCCTAAGAGACTTACAGGATGCCATCAAGCAGACCAATGTATGCATTATGAAAGTGCCAGAAGGAGAAGAGAAAAATAAAGGGGCAGAGAGCCAGTTAAAAAAGTAATGACCAAAAACTTCTCAAACTTAAAGAAGGAAATGGACATACAAATCCAAGAGGCTCAAAGAACTCCAAGTTGGATAATTTGCAAAAGACCTACAATGAGACACATTAGAATTTTGAAAGGAACAGGATCAAAGCAACTTGTCACATACAAGGGAGATTCCATATGGTTATCAATGGAATTCTCAGCAAAAACTCTACAGGCCAGAAGAGAATGGGATGATATATTAAAAGGGCTGAAAGAAAAAAAAAACTGTCAACCAAGAACTGTATAGCCAGTAAAACTGTACTTCAAAAATGAAGAGTTCCCCAGAGAAGTAAAAGGTGAGGGAGTTGATCACCACTAGGCCTACCTTACAAAAAACGTTAAAGGGAGTCCTCCAAGTGGAAATGAAAAGGCATTGGATAGAAATACAAAAGCATACAAAATATAAACTTCTTTGGTAAAGGTAAATATATGAGTGAACATAGAATCCTTTAATACTCTAATGGTGGTAAGCAAAACATTTTTTTCCTTTACTTTTTTTTCTTTTTTTTTTTTTTTTTTTGAGACAAAGTCTTGCTCTGCTGCCCAGGCTGGAGTGCAGTGGTTTGATCATGGCTCACTGCAGCCTTGCAGTCCTAGGCTAAAGCAATCCTTCCACCTCAGCCTCCTGAGTGGCTGGGACTACAGACATGCACCACCACACTCAGATAATATTTTTAAATTTTTAGCAGAGATAAGGCCTTGCTGGTCTCAAACTCCTAGGCTCAAGCGATGCTCACATTTTGGCCTCTCAAAGTTCTGGGACTACAGATGTGAGACACCACACCCAGCCTGTAATTCACTTTTAATTGAAGCATAGAATTTAAAAGGTAAAAGCATAATATTACTGTATTAAATTATGTGAATAAACAATATAAAATATATATTGTGTGACATTGATAACAAAGTGAGAAGGAGGTGTAAAGAAGTAGAGTTTTTGTATGTTATTAAAGTTAAGTTGTTGTCAATTTAAAATAGATTATTATAACTATAAGATGTTTTCATGTAATTCTACAGTAACCACAAAGAAAAGACCTACAGAAGATACACAAATAAAAATGAGAAAGGAACTAAAGCACGTCCCTACCAAAAAAAGAAATCAGTGAAACATAAAGGGAGGCAGAAAGAGAGGAAAAGTGGAAAAAAATACCTGCAAGACATGTATAAAACAGTGAACAAAATGACAATAGTAAGCCCCTCCCTATCAGTAACTACTTTAAATGCAAATAGGCTAATTTTCCAATCAAAAGACAAAGAATTGGCCGAATGGATTAAAAAAATCTAAATATATACTATATGCAAGAGACTTATGTTAGATCTAAACACACACAAAGGTTGAAAGTGAAAGGATGGAAAAAGATATTCAATGCATTTGGTAACCAAAAGAGAACAAGGATGGCCATACTTAGACAAAATAGAGTTTAAGTCAAATAATAGCACAAGAGACAAGGATATTACATAATAATAAAAGGGCCAATTGACCAAGAAGATATAGCAATTATAAATGTATATGCAACTAACAGTACAGCATCTAAATATATGAAGCTAACGTAGACAGAATTGAGGGGTAACATAGATAACAACATCATAATAACAGAAAACTTCAATATTCCACTTTCAATTATGGATACAATAACCAGACAGAAGATCAACTGGAAAACACAGAACTTGAACAACATTGTAGACCAATTGGACCTGTCTGACATATACAGAACACTTCACCCAATAATAGCAAAATATGCTTTCTTCTCAAGTACATACCAAGACTTTTCCAGGATAGATGGCATGCTAGTCCACAAACAAGTTTTTAAAAATTTAAGAAAACTGAACTCATACCAAATATCTTTTCTGACCACATTAAATGAAATTACAAATTCATAGCAGAAGGAAAAAGGAAAAGTAATAAATATGTGGAAATTACAAAAATATACTCTCTACCAATTGGCCTGTGTGGTTAATATTAATTGTCAATTTGATTGAGGGATGCTCAGATGCCTGATGAAGCGCTGTGTGTGGGTATATCTGTGAGGGTGCTGCCACAGGAGAATGATGGATGAGTTAGTGGACTGAGAGAGAAAAACCCATCCTCACTGTGGGTAGGCATCATGCAATTGGTTGCAAGTGTGACTAGAACAAAAAGGCAGAAGAATGGGAACATTCAGCTTGCTTGGATTTCTTTTTTATACACTTTCTCTCTCTTCCAGAGCAGTATGCCTTTTTCTCCTCTCGCCCTTGCACATCAAACTCTAGGTTCTTTGGCCTTTGGACCCTGGGACTTGCATCAGCAGCCTTTTGGGAGCTCTCAGGCCTTGGGCCTCAGACTAGTGGCTGCACTGTCAGCTTCCCTGGTTTTGAGACTTTCAGATTTGGACTGAGCCATGTCACTGGCTTCCTTGGGAGCCATGTTGTAAGCTTCTCTCATTTTCCAGCTTATAGATGGCCTATTGTGGGACTTTGCCTTTGTAATTATGTGAGCCAATTCTCCTTAATAAATCATATTTCATATACATGTAAATATATTCTCTTTTAGATGCATGTATATGTATCTCTATTATCTATTATCTATATCTATATCTATATCTATATCTATATCTATATCTATATATATTTCTTATTGGATCAGACCCTCTGGAGAACTCTGATTAATACATAGTCAAAGAATAAGTCACAAGGAAAATTAGAAAATGTCTTGAGACAAATAAAAATGGAAACACAACATTCCAAAGCTTGTGAGATGCAGCAAAATGAATATGAAGAGGACAGTTTATATATCTAACTACCTACCTTAAAAAAGAAGAAAGATCTAAAATCAGCAACTTAACTTTACACCTCAAGAAACTGGAAAAAGAAGAACTCAACCCAATGTTAGCAAAAGGAAGGAAATAATAAAGTCTAGAGCAGAAGGCCGGGTGCAGTGGCTCACGACTGTAATCCCAGCACTTTGGGAAGCTGAGGCAGGTGGATCACCTGAGGTCAGGAGTTCGAGACCAGCCTCAGCAACATGGAGAAACCTGTCTCTACTAAAAAATACAAAATTAGCCGGGCATGGTGGTGCATGCCTGTAATCCCAGCTACTCTGGAGGCTGAGGCAGGAGAGTCACTTGAACTGGGAGGTGGAGGTTGCAGCAAGCGGAGATCATGCCATTGCACTACAGCCTGGGCAATAAGAGTGAAACTCCATCTCAAAAAAAAAAAAATAAAAAGGCTAGAGAATAGAAAAAACCCAATGAAACTAGTAGTCGTTTCAAAGTTCAACAAAATTGACAAATCATTAGCTAGAATATTTAAGAAAAAAAATAATGAAGACTCAACTTCTTTTAGGAACAAAAGAGAAGACACTGCAACAGATATTTACAGAAATAAAAACGATTCTAAGAGTCTACTATGAATTATTATATACTGACTAGTTGGATAACCTAGGAGAAATGAACAGATTCCTAGTAACATGCAAGTTACCAAGACTAAGTCACAAAATAAAAAATCTTAATAAACCTATAACTAGTAACTGAATCAGGAATCAAAAACCTCCCAGCAAACCAAATACCTGATAAGGGTTAATATCTAAAATATATACAGAACAACAACTCAATAACAAAACAACCTAAATGAGAAATGGTCAGTTGACTTTGCTATGGTCCAAATGTTCTCCCAATATTCATATGCTGGAGCCTAATATTCAATGTGATAATATTAAGAGGTGGGGCATTTTGGAGATGATTAGTTCATGAAGTCATAGCCCTCAGAAATGGGACTAGGGCCTTTATAAAAGAGGCTTAAGGGAGTTTGTTTTCCCTTTTGAACATGTGAGGACACAGAGAAGGTGCTATGTATAGTGAATATAGTGACCTCACCAGTCACTGAGTCTGTTGTAGCCTAAATCTTGGACTTTTCACACTCCAGAATGCAAGAAATAAATTTCTGTTGTTTATAAATTACCAGCCTAAGGTATTTTGTTATAGCAGCAGGAATGGACTAAGATAGACTTGAATAGACATTTTTTCCAAAAAAAAAAATACAAATGGCCAACTAGCATATCAACCCAACACTACGTGGAAGCTGCCAAGCCTTGGGGATTGAACTCTGAAGCAATAGCCTGAGCTGTACGTTGGCTCCTTTTAGCCATGGCTGGGACACAGGGCACCAAGTCCCAAGACTGCACAGAGCAGCAAAGTTCTGGGCCTGGCCCACAAAACCATTTTTTCCCTCCTAGGCCTCCAACCCTGTGACAGGAGGGGCTGTCGTGAAGAACTCTGACATGCCCTGGAGAAAATTTCCCCATTATCTTGTCAATTAACATTTGGCTCCTTGTTACTTCTGCAAATTTCTGCAGTAAGCTTGAATTTCTCCCCAGAAAATGGGTTTTCTTTTCTATCACATCATCAGGCTGCAAATCTTCCAAACTTTTATGCTCTGCTCCCTTTTAAACATAGGTTCTAATTCCAAACCATATTTTTGTGAATGCATACAACTGAACACTTTTAAGAACACTCAGGTCATAAATTGAACACTTTGCTGCTTACAAATTTCTTCTACCAGATGTCCTGGATGGGTTCCAAGATGGCCAAATAGGAAGAGTTCCGGTCTGTAGCTCCCAGCATGATCGACACAGAAGACGGGTGATTTCTGCACTTCCAACTGAGGTACCTGGTTAATCTCATTGGGACTGGTTGGAGAGTGGGTGCAGGCCCACAGAGGGTGAGCTGAAGCAGGGTGGGGCGTCGCCTCACCCGGGAAGCACAAGGGGTTGGGGGATTTCCCTTTCCCAGCCAAGGGAAGCTGTGACAGACTACCTGGAAAAACAGGGCACTCCCGCCCAAATACTGCACTTTTCCCAAGGTCTTAGCAACTAGCAGGCAAGGTGATTCTCTCCTGTGCCTCACTCAGTAGGTCCCACAGCCATGGAGCCTTGCTCACTGCTAGCGAAACAGTCTGAAATCCATCTGCGAGGTGGCAGTCTGGTTGGGGGAGGGGCGTCAACCATTGCTGAGGCTTAAGTAGGTAAACAAAGCGGCCAGGGAAGCTTGAACTGGGTGGAGCCCACCGCAGCTCAACAAGGCCCATTGCCTCTAGACTCCACGTCTGTGGGCAGGGATAGCTGAACAAAAGGCAGCAACTTCTGCAGACTTAAACGTCCCTGTCTGACAGCTCTGAAGAGAGCAGTGGTTTTTCCAGCATGGCGTTTGAGTTCTGAGAATGGACAGACTGCCTCCTCAAGTGGGTCCCTGAACCCTGTGTAGCCTAACTGGGACACACCTCCCAGTAGAGGCTGACAGACACCTCATATAGGCAGCTGCCCCTCTTGGACAAAGCTTCCAGAGGAAGGATCAGGCAGCACTATTTGCTATTCTGCAATATTTGCTGTTCTGCAGCCTCCACTGGTGATACCCAGGCAAACAGTGTCTGGAGTGGAACTCCAGCAAACTCCAACAGATCTGCAGCTGAGGGTCCTGACTGTTAGAAGGAAAACTAAAAAACAGAAAGGAATAGTGTCAACATTAACAAAAGATCATCTACACCAAAACCCCATCTGTAGGTCAACAATATCAAAGACCAAAGGTAGATAAAACCAAAAGGATGGGGATAAACCAGAGCAGAAAAGCTGAAAATTCTAAAAATCAGAGCACCTCTTCGCCTCCAAAGGATCACCACTCCTTGTCAGCAATGGAACAAAGCTGGACAGAGAATGACTTTGACGAGTTGACAGAAGTAGGCTTCAGAAGGTTGGTAATAACAAACTTCTCCGAGCTAAAGGAGGATGTTGGAACCCATTGCAAGGAAGTTAAAAACCTTGAAAAAAGATTAGACGAATGGCTTACAAGAATAAACAGTGTAGAGAAGACCTTAAGTGACCCAATGGAGCTGAAAACCATGGCACAAGAACTTTATGACTCATGCACAAGCTTCAATAGCCGATTCAATCAAGTGGAAGAAAGGGTATCAGTGATTGAAGATCAAATAAATGAAATAAAGTGAGAAGACAAGGTTAGAGAAACAAGAGTAAAAAGAAATGAACAAAGCCTCCAAGAAATATGGGACTATGTGAAAAGACCAAATCTATATTTGATTGGTGTACCGGAAAGTGATGAGGAGAATGGAACCAAGTTGGAAAACACTCTTCAGGATATTATCCAGGAGAATTTCCCCAACCTAGCAAGGCAGGCCAACATTCAACTTCAGGAAATACAGAGAAAAACACAAAGATACTCTTTGAGAAGAGCGATTCCAAGACACATAATTGTCAGATTCACCAAGGTTGAAGTGTAGGAAAAAGTGTTAAGGGCAGCGAGAGAGAAAGGTCAGGTTAGCCACAAAGGGAAGCCCATCAGACTAACAGCTGATCTCTTGGCAGAAACTTTACAATCCAGAAGAGAGTGGGGGCCAATATTCAACATTCTTAAAGAAAATAATTTTCAATCCAGAGTTTCATATCCAGCCAAACTAAGCTTCATAAGTGAAGGAGAAAATAAAATTCTTTACTGACAAGCAAATGCTGAGAGATTTTGTCACCACCAGGCCTGCCTTACAAGAGCTCCTGAAGGAAGCACTAAACATGGAAAGAAACACCCGGTACCACCCAGTGCAAAAACATGCCAAGTTGTAAAGTCCATCAATGCTAGGAAGAAACTGCATCAATTAATGGGCAAATAACCAGCGAATATCATAATGACAGGATCAAATTCACACATAACAATATTAACTGTAAACGTAAATGGGCTAAATGCCCCAATTAAAGGACACAGACTGGCAAATTGGATAAAGGGTCAAGACCCATCAGTGTGCTGTATTCAGGAGACCCATCTCATGCGCAAATTCACACATAGGCTCAAAATAAAGGGATGGAGGAAGATCTACCAAGAAAATGGAAAACAAAAAAAGGCAGGGGTTGCAATCCTTGTCTCTGATAAAACAGACTTTAAACCAACAAAGATCAAAAGAGACAAAGAAGGCCATTACATAATGGTAAAGGGATCAATGCAACAAGAAGAGCTAACTATCCTAAATATATATGCACCCAATACAAGAGCACCCAGATTCATAAAGCAAGTCCTTAGAGACCTACAAAGAGACTTAGACTCCCACACAATAATAATGGGAGACTTTAACACCCAACTGTCAATATTAGAAAGATCAACAAGACAGAAGGTTAACAAAGATATCCAGGACCTGAACTCAGCTCTGCAACAAACAGACCCAATAGACATCCACAGAACTCTCCACCCCAAATCAACAGAGTATACATTCTTCTCAGCACCACATCTCACTTATTCTAAATTTGACCACATAATTGGAAGTAAAGCACTCCTCACCAAATGTAAAAGAACAGAAATCACAACAAACTGTCTCTCAGACCACAGTGCAATCAAATTCAAACAGGATTAAGAAGCTCACTCAAAACTGAACAACTACATGGAAACTGAACAATTTGCTCCTGAATGACTACTGGGTAAATAACAAAATGAAGGCAGAAATAAAGACGTTCTTTGAAACCAATGAGAACAAAGACACAATGTACCAGAATCTCTGGGACACATTTAAAGCAGTGTGTAGGGGGAAATTTATAGCACTAAATGCCCAGAAGAGAAAGCAGGAAAGATCTAAAATTGACCCCCTAACATCAAAATTAAAAGAACTAGAGAAGCAAGAGCAAACACATTCAAAAGCTAGCAGAAGGCAAAAAATAAGATCAGAGCAGAGCTGAAGGAGACAGAGACACAAAAAACCCTTCAAAAAAGCAATGAATCCAGGAGCTGGTTTTTTGAAAAGATCAACAAAATTGATAGACTGCTAGCAAGACTAATAAAGAAGAAAAGAGAGAGGAATCAAATAGATGCAATAAAAATGACAAAGGGGATATCACCACTGAGCCCAGGGAAATAAAAACTACCATCAGAGAATACTATAAACACCTCTACACAAATAAACTTGAACATCTAGAAGAAATGGATAAATTCTTGGACACATACACCCTTTCAAGACTAAACTTGAAGAAGTTGAATCTCTGAATAGACCAATAACAGGCTCTGAAATTGAGGCAATAATTAATAGCTTACCAACCAAAAAAAAGTCCAGGACCAGATGGATTCACAGCTGAGTTCTACCAGAGGTACAAAGAGGAGCTGGTACCATTCTTTCTGAAACTTTTCCAATCAATAGAAAAAGACAGAATCCTCCCTAATTCATTTTATGAGGCCAACATCATCCTGATACCAAAGCCTGACAGAGACACAACAACAAAAAAAGAGAATTTTAGACCTATATCCCTGATGAACATTGATGCAAATATCCTCAATAAGATAGTAACAAACGGAATCCAGCAACACATCAAAAAGCTTATCCACCATGATCAAGTTGGCATCTCTAGGATGCAAGACTGGTTCAACATATGCAAATCAATAAACGTAATCCATCATATAAACAGAACCAAAGACAAAAACCACATGATTATCTTAATAGATGCAGAAAAGGCCTCTGACAAAATTCAACAGCCCTTCATGCTAAGAACTCTCAATAAACTAGGTATTGATGGGACGTATCTCAAAATAATAAGAGCTATTTATGACAAACCCACAGCCAATATCATACTGAATGGACAATAACTGGAAGCATTCCCTTTGAAACCTGGCACAAGACAAGGATTCCCTCTCTCACCACTCCTATTCAACATAGTCTTGGAAGTTCTGGCCAGGGCAATCAGGCAAGAGAATGAAATAAAATGTATTCAACTAGGAAAAGAGGAAGTCAAATTGTCCCTGTCTGCAGATGACATGATTGTATATTTACAAAACCCCATCATCTCAGCCCAAAATCTCCTTAAGCTGATAAGCAAATTCAGCAAAGTCTCAGGATACAAAATCAATGTGCAAAAATCACAAGCATTCTTATACACCAATAACAGACAAACAGAGAGCCAAATCATGAGTGAACTCCCATCCACAATTGCTTCAAAGAGAATAAAATACCTAGGAATCCAACTTACAGGGGATGTGAAGGGCCTCTTCAAGGAGAACGACAAACCACTGCTCAACAAAATAAGAGGACACAAACAAATGGAAGAACATTCCATGCTCATGGATAGGAAGAATCAATATCGTGAAAATGGCCATACAGCCAAAGGTAATTTATAGATTCAATGCCATCCCCATCAAGCTACCAATAACTTTCTTCACAGAATTGGAAAAAAACAACTTTAAAGTTCATATGGAACCAAAAAGGAACCTGCATTGCCAAGTCAATCCTAAGCAAAAAGAACAAATCTGGAGGCATCACGCTACCTGACTTCAAACTACACTACAAGGCTACAGTAACCAAAACAGCATGGTACTGGTGCCAAAACAGAGATACAGACCAATGGAACAGAATAGAGCCCTCGGAAATAATACCACACATCTACAACCATCTGATCTTTGACAAACCTGACATAAACAAGACATGGGGAAAGGATTCCCTATTTAATAAATGGTGCTGGGAAAACTGGCTAGCCGTATGTGGAAAGCTGAAACTGGATCCCTTCCTTACACCTTATATAAAAATTAATTCAAGATGGATTAAAGACTTAAATGTTAGACCTAAAACCATAAAAACCCTAGAAGAATACCTAGGCAATACCATTCAGGACATAGGCATGGGCAAGGACTTCATGACTAAAACACCAATAGCAATGGCAACAAAAGCCAAAATTGACAAATGAGATCTAATTAAATTCAAGAGCTTCTGCACAGCAAAAGAAACTACCATCAGAGTGAACAGACAACTTACAGAATGGGAGAAAATTTTTACAATCTACCCATCTGACAAAGGGCTAATATCCAGAATCTACAAAGAACTTAAACAAATTTATATGAAAAAATCAAACTACCCCATCAAAAATTGGGCAAAGGATATGAACAGACACTTCTCAAAAGAAGACATCTATGCAGCCAACAGACACATGAAAAAATGCTCATCATCACTCGCCATCAGAGAAATGCAAATCAAAACCACAATCAGATGCCATCTCACACCAATTAGAATGGCGATCATTAAAAAGTCAGGAAACAACAGGTGCTGGAGAGGATATGGAGAAATAGGAACACTTTTACACTGTTGGTGGGAGTGTAAACTAGTTCAATCATTGTAGAAGACAGTGTGGCAATTCCTCAAGGATCTAGAACAAGAAATACCATTTCAATCAGCCATCCCATTACTGGGCATATACCCAAAGGATTGTGAATCATGCTGCTATAAAGACACATGCACACATATGTTTATTGCGGCACTATTCACAATAGCAAAAACTTGGAACCAACCTAAATGTCCATCAACGATAGACTGGATTAAGAAAATGTGGCACATATACACCAAGGAATACTATGCAGCCATAAAAAGGATGAGTTCATGTCCTTTGTAAGGACATGGATGAAGCTAGAAACCATCATTCTGAGAAAACTATCGCAAAGACAGAAAACTAAACACCACGTGTTCTTACTCATAGGTGGGAATTGAACAATGAGAACACTTGGACACAGGGTGGGGAACATCACACACTGGGGCCTGTCATGGAGTGGGGGGAGGGGGGGATAGCATTAGGAGATATATCTAATGTAAATGACGAGTTAATGGGTGCAGCACACCAACATGACACATGTATACATATGTAACAAACCGGCACATTGTGCATATGTACCCTAGAACTTAAAGTATAATAATAGAAAAACTATGACACTCTCCTACATACCATATCTGTACAAAAATTATAAATTTTAGATAACCATCCAGAGATATTTCTCTAATTCTTGGAAAAAATATCAACATTGAAAACATCAAAAAAATTAAACAGTTCTTTCTTCATCCAAAAAAAAAAAAAGAACGATAGGGAATCCTCCCTAACTCATTTTATGAGGCCAGCATCATCCTGGTACCAAAGCCTGGCAGAGACACAACAAAAAAAGAGAATTTTAGACCAATATCCCTGATGAACATCGATGCGAAAATCCTCAATAAAATACTGGCAAACCAAATCCAGCAGCACATCAAAAAGCTTATCCACCACGATCAAGTGGGCTTCATCCCTGGGATGCAAGGCTGGTTCAACATATGCAAATCAATAAACGTAATCCATTACATAAACAGAACCAAAGACAAAAACCACATGATTATCTCAATAGATGCAGAAAAGGCCTTTGACAAACTTCAACACTCCTTCATGCTAAAAACTCTCAATAAACTAGGTATTGATGGGACGTATCTCAAAATAATAAGAGCTATTTATGACAAACCCACAGCCAATATCATACTGAATGGGCAAAAACTGGAAGCATTCCTTTTGAAAACCGGCACAAGACAAGGATGCCCTCCCTCACCACTCTTATTCAACATGGTGTTGGAAGTTCTGAAAAGTGGAATCAGGCAGGAGAAAGAAATAAATTGTATTCAGTTAGGAAAAGATGAAGTCAAATTGTCCCTGTTTGCAGATGACATGATTGTATATTTAGAAAACCCCATCATCTCAGCCCAAAATCTCCTTAAGCTGATAAGCAACTTCAGCTAAGTCTCAGGATACAAAATCAACGTGCCAAAATCACAAGCATTCCTATACACCATTAATAGACAAACAGAGAGCCAAATCATGAGTGAACTCCCATCCACAATTGCTACAAAGAGAATAAAATACCTAGGAATCCAACTCACAAGGGTTGTGAAGGACCTCTTCAAGGAGAACTACAAACCACTGCTCAATGAATTAAAAGAGGACACAAACAAATGGAAGAATATTCCACGCTCATGGATAGGAAGAATCAATATCATGAAAAAGACCATACTGCACAAAGTAATTTATAGATTCAATACCATCCCCATCAAGCTTCTAATGACTTTCTTCACAGAATTGGAAAAAGAAACTACTTTAAAGTTCATATGAAACTAAAAAAGAGCCTGCATTGCCAAGACAATCCTAAGCAAAAAGAACAAAGCTGGAGGCATCACACTACCTGACTTCAAACTATACTACAAGGCTACAGTAACCAAAACAGCATGGTACTGGTGCCAAAACAGATATATAGACCAATGGAACAGAACAGAGGCCTCAGAAATAAGACCACACATCTACAGCCATCTGATCTTTGACAAACCTGACAAAAACAAGAAATGGGGAAAGGATTGCCTATTTAATAAATGATGCTGGGAAAACTGGCTAGCCATATGTAGAAAGCTGAAACTGGATCCCTTCCTTACATCTTATACAAAAATTAATTCAAGATGGATAAAAGACTTAAATGTTAGACCTAAAACCATAAAAACCCTAGAAGAAAACCTAGGCAATACCATTCAGGACATAGGCATGAGCAAGGACTTCATGACTAAAACACCAAAAGCAATGGCAACAAAAGCCAAAATTGACAAATGGGATCTAATTAAACTAAGGAGCTTCTGTACTGCAAAAGAAACTGCCATCAGAGTGAACCAGGCAACATACAGAATGGGAGATAAATTGCAATCTACCCATTTGACAAAGAAAGAATTCAAACAAATTTACAAGAAAAAAACAACCCCATCAAAAAGTGGGCAAACATATGAATAGACGCTTCTCAAAAGAAGACATCTATGCAGCTAACAGACACAAGAAAAAAAGCTCATCATCACTGGTCATCAAAGAAATGCAAATCAAAACCACAATGAGATACCATCCCACCCCAGTTAGAATGTCAATCATTAAAAAGTCAGGAAACAACAGATGCTGGAGAGGATATGGAGAAATAGGAATGCTTTTACACTGTTGGTGGGAGTGTAAACTAGTTCAACCATTGTGAAAGACATTGTGGCAATTCCTCGAGGATCTAGAACTAGAATTACCATTTGACCCAGCAATCCCATTACTGGATATATATCCAAAGGATTATAAATCATGCTACTATAAAGACATATGCACATGTATGTTTATTGCGGCACTATTAACAATAGCAAAGACTTGGAACCAACCCAAATGTCCATTAATGATGGACTGGATTAAGACATGTGACACATATACACCATGGAATACTATGCAGCCATAAAAAAGGATGAGTTCATGTCCTTTGCAGGGAGATAGATGAAGCTGGAAACCATCATTCTCAGCAAAACTATCACAAGGACAGAAAACCAAACACCGCATGTTCTCACTCATAGATGGGAATTGAACAATGAGATCACTTAGACACAGGGCTGGGAACATCACACACTGGGGCCTGTTGGGGGGTGGAGGGCTGGGGGAGGGAGACCATTAGGAGAAATACTTAATGTAAATGATGAGTTGATGGGTGCAGCAAACCAACATGGCACATGTGTGCCTATGTATCAAACCTGCACGTTGTGCACATGTACCCTAGAACTTAAGGTATAACAACAACAACAACAACAACAAACGTTTCTTCTACCAGATGTCCTCAGTCATCTCTCTCATTTTCAAAGTTCCATAAATCTGTAGGGCAGGGGCAAAATGCCACCATTCTCTTTGCTAAAGCATAGCAGGAGTGACCTTTACTTCAGTTCTCAACAAGTTGTTCATCTCCATCTCGGACCTCCTCAGCCTGGACTTCACTGTCCAAGTCACTATCAGCAGTTTGGTCAAAGCCATTCAACAAGTCTCTAGGCAGTTCCAAACTTTCCCACATCTTCTGGTCTTCTTCTGAGTCCTCTCAACTGTTCCAAACTCTGCATATTACACAGTTCCAAAGTCACTTCCACATTCTTAGGTATCTTATAGCAATACTCCATTACCTCAGTATCAAAATCTGTATTAGCCATGGTTCTCTAGAGGGATAGAACTAGTAGGAGATATATATATATATACACATACATATATATATATACACATACATATATATACATACATATATATATATACATATATATACATACATATATATATACACATACATATATATATATGACAGGGAGTTTATTAAGGAGAATTGAATCACACCATCACAAAGTGAAGTCCTACAACAGGCCGTCTGCAAGTTGAGGAGCAAGGAATCTAGTATTGGCTTAGTCCGAGTCCCAACACCTCAAAAGTAGGGAAACCGACAGGCCAGCTTTGAGTCTCTGGATGAAGGCCTGGGAGCCCCTGGAAAACAACTGGAGTAAGCCCAAGAGTCCAAAAGCCAAAGAACCTGGAGTCTGATATTTGAGTGCAGGAAGCATCCAGCATGGGAGAAAGATGAGGGCCAGAAGGCTCAGCAAGTCAGCTTCTCCTAACCTTCTTCTGCCTGCTTTATTCGAGCCATGCTGGCAGCTGATTTTATGGTGCCCACCCACATTGAGGGTGGATCTGCCTTTCCCAGTCCACTAAATAAATGTTAATCTCCTTTGGCAACACCCTCACAGACACAACCGGGAACAATAATTTGGATCCTTCAATCCAATCAAGTTGACACTTACTTAATATTAACCTACACAATGTAATATTCATCCCATTTGTAATTTTTCTTTAATATACAAGCTCGTTGAGAACATGCACCATTTGATCTTGTCTCTCTGTTGTGTTGGGAGGCAGTGGAGAAGAGAAGAGTTAAATGTGTGGGTGTGGAGTGAGACTGTCAGATTTGCATCTTGGCTCCCCTACTTATTGGATCTCTGTCCTTGAGTAAATTATTTAACATCTTTCTCAGTTTCCTTACCTGTAAATGAGTGGTGACATATATGGAACTTAGAACAAGAGCCAAGCAAGTATTCAATAAAAGCTAATGTTGTTGCCTACTGTTCATTCTCAGTGTTTGGCATAGTAGCCAGCAAAAGGAAGAGGATTTTTTTTTTTATTTTTTTCAGACAGTCTCCCTCTGTCACCCAGGCTGGAGTGCCATGGTGTGATCTTGGCTCACTGCAACCTCTGCCTCTTGGGTTCAAGTGATTCTTGTGCCTCAGCCCCCTGAGTAGCTGGGATTACAGGCCTGTGCCACCACACCCAGCTAACTTTTTGTATTTTTAGTGGAGATGGAGCTTTGCTATGTTGGCCAGGCTGGTCTTGAACTCATGTCCTCAAGTGATCCACCCGCTTTGGCCTCCCAAAGTGTTGGGATTATAGGCATGAGCCATTGGGTCCAGCCTGGAAATATTTTTTTGAAACATGACTGATAACAATATTTTTGAAAGAATGACAGATACCAATCATGAAGGAAAAGATTTTGACAATTGACAATAAAAAACTTTAACTTCTGAATGGTAAAAAGGGTGAGAAAATTAAAAGCCAAATTACAAATTGAAAAAACTAAAGTATATAAAACAAAGGTTTTCATTCTCAATTTAATGCAGAATCTTGACAAATCAAAAAGAACAAAAGGTGAACCCACCTAAAAGAAGTAGGCAGAAAACTTTCAAGAAAAGCAGTTTACAAAATGCCAATGACTAATAAACATGGATATTTAACATCACTAGTATTCAAAGTACTTCATTTACAGAGATCCCTCCTTCACCTATCAAATTAGCAAAGATGAAAAAGGCTAGTAATACCAAATTTTGAAGAGAGGTGAGAGGAAATGACAAGTTTATGTACCCTGGTAGGACATGATATTGTGGCAATATGTTTCAGAACACTCATAAACGTATACACCTTTTAGATCAACAATTACACTTTTAAGCTTAAGAAAATATGAAGATTAGGTACAAATATTTCTCTATATGTTCAACTAAGTATTATTTTTTTAAGTAAGAAAAACTTTTTGAGACAGGGTCTCACTCTGTTGCCCAGGCTGGATAGCTCACTACAGCCTCCGCCTCCTGAGTTCAAGTGATTCTTCTGCTTCAGCCTCCTGAGTAGCTGGGATTACAGATGCCCACCACCATGCCCGGCTAAGTTTTGTATTTTTAGTGGAGACGGGGTTTCACCATGTTGGTTGGCCAGGCTGGTCTTGAACTCCTGACCTCAAGTGATCCACCCTTCTTGGCCTCCCAAAATGCTGGGATTATAGGTGTCAGCCACCATGCCCGGCCAATTTTTTAATTTAAAAAAATATTTTTATAGCAGCACAACTAAGCATTATTTTAATAGCAAATATTGGAGTTAACTTTAATTTTGAACAGGATGAGTAATCATGATGCAGCACATTGAATACTCTTTCATTAAGCTAAACAACTATTTAAAATGATATACAAACACATTTACTGAAAAGAAACATGTTTGTGATATACAGTTAAGTGTAAAACAATTCAGGTTATAAGAACATATTAGGCTGGGTGCGATGGCTCAAGCCTGTAATCCCAGCACTTTGGGAGGCCGAGGCAGGAGGATCACGAGGTCAGGAGATCAAGACCATCCTGGCTAACATGTTGAAGCCCTGGATCTACTAAAAACACAAAAAAAATTAGCCGGGCATGGTGGCAGACGCCTGAGTCCCAACTACTTTGGAGGTTGAGGCAGGAGAATGGCATGAACCCGGGAGGCAGAGCATGCAGTGAGCTGAGATTGTGCCACTGCACTCCAACCTGGGTGACAGAGCAAGACTCCGCCTCAAAAAAAAAAATAAAAGAACATATTGGTCAATATTCACTGATTTTTATAAGAATATTTGACAGAGAGAGGGGTAAGGGAAGGGAAGGGGGAAGAGAGGGGAAGGGAAGGGAAGGGAAGAAGGGAAGAAGGGAAGGGAAGGGAATATGGGTGGGTTTATATCAAAAGGTTCAGAAGGAAATGATTCTTTTCTTCTGGATGTGACTATTGCAGATTTTATTTTTAACTTTTCCTCTTTTTCTTATTTATTTATATTTTCTTATTTTAAGAGAAACTATAAAACTATATATATTACTTTTCAACTTAAAAATAGTTTAGTGCTTCAGTAATACAGAAGACTCAAACATTGCAGATAATTAAAGCATTACTTAATGTGGAAATATTTAGTTTCACAATTTCTGTAGTGATATTCAAGACCAGATATCACCTTGGGAATCAGAACTGGTGCAGGATCTTGTCCTAACACTACCAAAAAGGCATATGGCTGTCCCAGCTCTGTATGTTTATGTCGTCTTATGATAGAGCAACCATTTGTTTATTAGGATGGCCAAAAAGGCACATTTCAAAAATGCCTATTAAAATATTAGTAGTACAAATAATACTGCTGCTTAATTTTTTCTAATGAGAACTGATAAAATTCAAAAGCAACATAAGCAGATAAATAGAAATAATATGGTTTATCAAATTAATTGTCACATGATTATTAAAGTGAGATCATGTGTGTTAAGTAGTGGTATCTTAAGCCACTGAAATATCTTCCTTGGTCTGGAATGAGCTTTCTATGGAGATTAAAAAGATGTTAAATTGAACAGTCTTGGTTAATAAATGAAGAAGCAAAGCCAGAAACCCTGTTTAAAGAACTAACAAAAAAGGTCATGAATGATCTGGTGGTTGTTATATTTTCTTGTTTACCCGAGGAGAAGACTATGCTCAAGCATGTATTGAATCCAGTGATAGCCAGAATGTCATCCATACTGCTAGCAGCCATTAGTAAGGTTGGAATGTCTTCCTCAACACCATATCCATTTTCTTGCAACACCATCGTGTAAAGGACAACAACAGCAAGAGAGACAGCACCTAGAACAAAACTGAAAGAAAGAATGAAAATTAATTTAAAAGCATCTTTTTAATCAAGTAGTGTTTTATAAGTACAAATAGTTTATAATAAATGTATAACAAACATTGTTTAGAAGAATTTCAAATTTGAGTGAATGCAATTTAATGGTGATAAAACTTTTCATGCATTGTTTAGTGCTGGCTAAAATTTTATACAGACGTGGTTTAAAATGTTGGGCTGAGCACAGGTTGCAGCCTCTCCCTCTATTCCTAAATCCTTTGAAGTGAAGATGTAAAGGTCATAGAAAAATTCATAACCTAACTAGAAAGCAAAAGGTGAATCATCAATGGACAAGAAACTAAGTATATGCCAGAAAGATAAGAGACAGACAATTTAGCATTGAAAAAAGGAAACCATAAACCAAAATGTGTGTAAATAAGATTGCCTCAAAAGATACATGTGCTTCTAAAAGTGGTCCAAGCCCTGAAATGACAGATGCTGGGAGCAGGAGAGACCTCCGGGGAAACCAAATAGTCTATTATTTGGAGTAGCACTGTAAGAATGGTCAGACAAATCTACCTTCCACACATTTCCTACCTCTTGAGTAAATAAGTAAGGAAGGAAGGAAGGAACAGAGTTGTCTGCCCAAAAAAACAAGTGTGGCCACCTAAGTTACAAAGGCAAATGAGAACATTTCTGGAGTGGTTGATGACACCCATGAGGAATGGGGAGGCTCCTGCTCAGAATACCTTCTATTGGCATATCTTATCCAGAATTTCACCTCATCTCTTCTACATTTACTTTATAAAGTGTGAAGTATATCCTGTGTAAAAATGCTTTTGGTGCTCCTGCCAGAATCCATTTACCAGGTCAATGAACACATCTCCCAGTGCTTCTTGTTGGCTGCTAATATCTGCAGGTTTCTAGAACCCTTGTCCTGCTGACAAGCACCTACCTGGGAATACTAGAGAGGTTGCGCACCCCTCTACTTTCCCTCCAGACAGCATCTGCCAATGACGGACTGATGTGAGATTTGCTTCCGGCTGTACAACTCTATGGCACAGTTTATGCTACAGATTTCCCTGTGGGCTCAAGAAGAGACTAGACTTCTCTAAGACCACATACTGGTCTAGTTCAGTGGTTCCTGAACTCTGCTGCACATTGTAATCACCTGTTGTATTATTTTTCTCATTTTGCTTAACAAGTCATCCCCAAACATAGCAGCTTAAAACAACAAATATTTATTGTCTTATGCTTCTGTGGGTCAGGAATCTGGGCATGGCTTAGCTGTATGCCTTGACTTAAGATTTCCCATGAGGTAGGGTGGGGTGGAGAAGATCTGCTTCCAAGTTTACTCATGTAGCCATTGCAGGCTTCAGTTTTTTCCAATGGGGTTTTCTCCACAGGGCTGCCTCAGGACATGGCAGCTGGCTTCCCCAGGAATAAGTGATCAAAGAGAATTTAATCCACAACATCAATTAAAAACACAAAGTATCTAAGAACAAAACTGTGAAGACAGTCTATACTTTTATAAAAATTGTGAATATAATAATATAATAATTAAGATAATACCTGAATACTTACACATTTCACAAGTGTGAACTAAAAAGCCCCAATTTTACCATTGCCCAACACCACGCCTGGCTAGTTTTTGTGTTTTTAGTAGATACAGTGTTTCACCATTTTGGCCAGGCTGGTCTTGAACTCCTGACCTCAAGTGATATGCCTGCCTTGGCCTCCCAAAGTGCTGGGATTATAAGTGTGAGCCACCATGCCCAGCCAAAGCCTCAATAATATAAAGATGTAATCTCTCCCCAAATGAATTAATCAGAGATACACCAATCAAAATCTTTGCAGGGACTTTTACTGAGCTTGAAAAGCTGATTATAAAATTCATTTGGAAGAATAAGATCTTAGAATGAAAGATCAAGTAAACTTAAGAAAACCAGATACTATTTTTGTAAAGGTTAAATAGTTAAAACTGAATAATAGTGACATATAAATAGACAAAATAAATTGGAAGAAAAGAGAATACAAAGTGTGGAAACAAATCTATGGGATTTGTTACATCATAAATTGGTATTTTAAATCAGTGGGAGAAAGAAAGAAATCTTTCACAAATGGTGTTGAGATAACTATTTATGTGGAAAGGAATATAGATAGATCCTTACACATAATAACTGTTAAAAGCTCAAAAGGAAAAGTAGTAATAAGAAAATGTAGTGGGCTAGGCGTGATGGCTCACACCTGTAATCCCAGCACTTTGGGAGGCTGAGGCGGACAGATCAGGAATCTGAGACCAGCCTGGCCAACATGGCAAAACCAATAGCTGGGTGCAGTGGTGCATGCCTGTAGTCCCAGCCGCTTGGGAGGTTGAGGCAGGAGAATCACTTGAACCTGGGAGGTGGAGGTTGCAGTGAGCTGAGATCATGCCACTGCACTACAGCCTGGGTGACAGCAAGACTGTGAACAACAACAACAAAAAGATGTAGAATAATATATTTGTGATCATGAGGTAAAAAGGACCTTTTGAATGATACATACAAAGGCATTAGACATAAAAAGAGATTTTGATACATTCAATTATATTAAAGTAGTACTTCAAAAGCAACTTCAAAAGTACTATAATAAAGTACTACTTCGAAAGCAATTCTGCTCTTTCTCCCCCTTTTTCTCTTTTTCATTTTCAAAGTCAAGTGAACAGTGTTGTGTATTGGCAATTCTGTCTGTTGAAAATAACAAAATACACTTATTAGAGTGAAAAAAATCATCACAAACAAAATTAAATATCTACTGATATTTGCAGTACATATAATTTACAAATGCATATAACATATATAATTAATACAGAAGACCAACTCAACAAAAAAATGGACAAAGATATGAACAGGCTAGCTACAGATAAGGAAAAGCTGAAGGACAACACATATATAAAATATATTCAAGCTTGTGAATAATCACAGAAATGCAAATTAAAATAACAAAAATATGCCATTTTTTCAATTATCAGACTGGAAAACATTATAAAATTTAATAATATCAAGGATTTGCAAGGATTTTCAAGAACAACAGGTATGCTCATAAGCTACTGGTATTAGGGCAAATTAAAGTGGCCATACCGAAAGGATTTTGGCTGTATATATCAAACTAAAAATGCATGTAACCCAGGTAACTATTCTAGACAAACTTATAGTTATGTAAAATGAGACAAATAAAATGCTATTTTTGTTATAACATTGTAAATAAAATCTGCTGTTGACATACAATGTAATCTTATACAATTAAAAGGAATAAACTACATGTGTATCCATCTTGAGATGGATAAACCTTGAGACTATTGTTGAGTGAAAAGAACAAATTGTAAAGTAAAATTTTCTTGGGTATGATTACATAAAAATGCACAAAATAATACTCTTTTTTTCTCTGGGTTCACAAATACATTTGTTAGAAGTCCAGAACATTATTTTTAAAGCTCTAGAATGATAACATAAAACTCACGAAGATGCTGCCACTCTGTCTCCAGCGGCACATGAGTGCACCCCACAGCACCATTGCCCCGGCTGGCACGTGCAAGTATGCAGAACACCCCCATCCCACTCCTGCCGGCACTGCACCCCTGCCAACACATGCATACCTGCTGTGTGCTGCTGCTGCTGGCACGTATGTGTGAGTGGGGACCTTGCTACAATCACTACAGTGAAGCACTTTGGCTGGCACATCCCATCAGAGTGTTGTTGCCAGTGGACTGGGAACACCTTAGTGCTTAACATTGAAGGGCCAGACAACAAATCTGTGGGTATGGTACCAGCCTTGCAAAGTTAGAGCATGCAGTTCAGGAGTGCTGAGCTGAGCCTTTGCCCCCTGAAATCTTCCAGAAATGAAGCCATTTGACTGAAACTACCTTGTGCCACAGTTAAACCCTCAAGGGCATTAAAGAATATAAAAAAGGAAAAAACTCCATCCAAAGGACAGTGAGTCAAAACATTAAAGGAACCTTAGCCCACACAGATGTGAAAGAACCAGTGCAAGAACTCTGGCAATGTAAAAAGCCAGAATGTCTTCCTGTCTTCAAGCAATCATACTAACTCTCCAACAATGGTTGTTAACCAGGACTAAATGACAGACATAGATTTCAGAATCTGGATAGAAACAAAGATCATTGAGATTCAGAAGAAAGTCAAAATCCAATCCAAATAATCTAAGGAATCCAATAAGATGACATAAGAGCTGAAAGATGAAATAGGCATTTTAAGAAAGAACCAAACTAAACTGATAGAGCTGAAAAATGCACCTCAAGAATTTCATAATGCAATAACAAGTACTAACAGTAGAACGGACCAAGCTGAGGAAAGAATCCCAGATCTCAAAGACCACTTCTTTGAATCAACTCAGTCATATGAAAATAAACGACAAAAAAGAATGAACAAAACCTCTGAGAAATCTGAGCTTATGTAAAGAGACCAAACATATGACTCAAGGCACCACTCAAAGAAAGGGAGAAAGAACAAGCAAGTTGGAAAACATATTTGAGGATACTGCCCACAAAAATTTCCCAAATCTTGCTAGAGAAGTCACCATTTAAATCCAGGAAATGCAGAGAATCCTGTGAGATACTATACAAGATGACCATCCCCAAGACAGAGAGTCATCAGATTCCCCAAGGTCAACATGAAATAAAAAAATATGAAAGGCAGCTAAAGTGAAGGAGCAGGTCACATACAAAGGGAATCCCACCAGGCTAACAGTGGAACTATAAGAACTATAAGATACTCTACAATCCAAAAGAAATTGGGGGCCTATATTCAGCATTCTTTTTTTTTTTTTCGAGACGGAGTCTCACTCTGTTGCCCAGGCTGGAGTGCACTGGTGCTATCTCGGCTCACTGCAACCTCCACTTCCCGGGTTCAAGCAATTCTTCTCCCTCAGCCTCCCAAGTAGCTGGGACTACAGGTGCACACCACAACACCTGGCAATTTTTTGTAATTTTAGTAGAGACAGGATTTCACCATATTGGCCAAGGTGGTCTCAAATTCCTGACCTCGTGATCTGCCCACCTCGGCCTCTCAAAGTGCTGGGATTACAGGTGTGAGCCACCACACCTGGCCTTCAGCATTCTTAAAAAAAAAATACTTGGCCGGGTATGGTGGCTCATGCCTGTAATCCCAGCACTTTGGGAGGCTGAGGAGGGCAGAACACAAGGTCAAGAGATCAAGACCATCCTGGCCAACATGGTGAAACCTCATCTCTAATAAAAATACAAAAATTAGCTGGGTATGGTGGTGCGTGTCTGTAGTCCCAGCTACTTGGGAGGCTGAGGCAAGAGAATCACTTAACCCAGGAGGTGGAGGTTGCAGTGAGCCGAGATAGCACCACTGCACTCCAGCCTGGGGACAGAGCAAGACTCTGTTGCAAAAAAAAAAAAAAAAAAATTCAACCAAGAACTTAATATCCAGCCAAACTAAACTTCATATGTGAAGGAGAAGTAAGATCCTTTTCAGACAAACAAATGCTAACGGAATCTGTTACCACCAGACATGCCTTACAAGAGGTCCTTAAGGGAGTGCTAAGCGTGGAAGTGAAAGACTGTTAATGGCCACCACAAAAATACATTTAAGTACATAGACCATTGACGTTGTAAAGTAACTACACAATCAAGTCTGCATAATAACCAGCTAACAACATAATGGCAGGACCAAAGCTATAAATACCATTAACTGTGAATGTAAACAGTATAAATGCCCTGCTTAAAACTCACAGAATGGCAAGTTGGATAAAGAAGCAAAGCCCAACTGTATCTGTTGTCAAGAGACCCAGCTCATATGCAACAATACCCCTTGGCTTGAAGTAAAAGGATGGAAAAAAATCTACCAAGCAAATGCAAAACAAAAAAGGGTAAGCATTGTTATTCTAATACAGACAAAATAGACTTTAAACCAACAACAATCAAAGAGACAAAGAAGGGTACTATGTAATGATAAAGGGTTCAATTCAACAAGAAGACTTAACTGTCTGAAAGATAAATGTGCTCAAAACTGGAGCATTCACATTTGTAAAACAAGTTCATAGAGACCTATAGAGAGACTTAGATAACCACAGAATAATAGTGGGAGACTTCAACATCTCACTGATGGTACTAGACAGATCATAGAGACAGAAAATGCACAAAGATATTCAGGACTTGAAGTCAACATTTGGCTAAATGGACCTAACAGCCATCTACAGAACACTCCACCCAACAACAACAGAATATATCTTCTTCTCATCTGTACATGGCATATATTGTAAAATTGATCACACTATCAGTCTAAAATTATTTTCAATAAATTAAAAGAAGCCCCTGAAATCATGCCAACCACACTCTTGGACCGCTCAGTGTAGCAAAAATAGAAGTCAACACTAAGAAGAACTCTCAAAACCATAAAATTACATGGAAATTAAACAACCTGTGCCTGAATGACTTTTGGGTAAACAATGAAATTAAGGCAGAAACCAATATATTTTTTGAAACTAATTAAAACAAAGATACAATATTCTAGGCTCTCTAAGACACAGGCAAAGCAGTGTTAAGGGAAAAGTTTATAGTGCTAAATGCCCATATTGAAAAGTTAGAAGGATCTTAAATTAACAACCTAATATCATACCTAAAGGAAACAGAAAAACAAGAGGAAACCAACCCAAAGCTAGCAGAAGAAAATAAACAACCAAAATCAGAGCAGAATGGAATGAAATTGAGTCATGAAAAGCCATACAAAAGATAAATGAAACTAAAAGCTGGTTCTTCGAAAGAATAAATAAATTTGATAGGTCACTAGCTAGACCAATAAGGAAAAAAAAAAGAGAAGATACAAAAAACACAATCAGAAATGGTAAAGTGGACATTACCGCCAACCACACAGAAATACAAAAAACTCTCAGAGACTAAGATGAACATGTTTATGAAAACAAAGTAGAACACCTACAAGAAATGGGTACATTTCTGGAAACATACAACCTCCCAAGATTGAACTAGGAAGAAATTGAAATCCTGAACAAACCAAAAATGAGTTCTGAAACTGAATGAGTAATAAAAAGTCTCTGAGCCAAAAAAAAAAAAAAAAAGCAAGCCCAGGACCCAACAGATTCACAGACAAATTCTACCAGAAGTGTAAAGAAGAGCTGGTACCAATGCTACTGAAATCATTCTGAAAAAATGAGGAGGAAGGATCCCTCCCTAACTCATTTTATGAGGTCAGCATCATTCAGATATGAAAACCTGGCAGAGACACAGCAAAAAAGAAAACTTCAGGACAGTTATCACTGATAATCATAGATGCAAAAATCCTCAACAAAATACAAGCCAACTGAATCCAGCAGCACATCAAAAAGCTAGTCCACTATGATCATGTAAGATTTATTGCTGGGATGCAAGTTTGGTTCAAGATATACAAACCAATAAATGTGATTCATCATAAAATAGAACTAAAAATAAAAACATCCCTTCTTGATATAAACCCTCAACAAATGAGTTACTGAAGGAGCATACCTCAAAATAATTGAAGCCATTTATGACAAACCCACAGCCAACTTCATACTGAATGGGAAAAAGCTGGAATATTCCCTTTGAGAACTGGAACAAGACAAGGATGCCCACTCTCACTACTCCTATTCAACATAGTGCTGGATGTCCTAGCCAGTGCAATTAGGCAAGAGAAAGAAACACAGACATCTAAATACGAAGAATGGAAGTCAAACTATGCCTCTTCTTGGGTGAAACACTTTTATACCAAGAAAACCCCATAGTAGCCTCTCGAGAGCTCCCAGATCTGACAAATGACTTCAGCAAAGTTTCAGGATACAAAAATTAATGTACACAAATCTGTAGCATTTCTATACAGCAACAACATCCAAGCTGACAGCCAAATCAAGAATGCAATCCCATTCACAGTAGCCACAAAAAAAACTACAAAATACCTTGGAATACAGCTAAGCAGGGAGGTGAAAAATCTCTAAAATGAAAATTACAAACGAGTGCTCAAAGAATCAGAGACAACAGAAACAAAAGGAAAACATTCCATGATCACAGATAGGAAGAAGCAATATTGTTAAAATGTCCATACTGTCTAAGGCTATTTACAGAGTCAATGCCATTCCTATCATAACACCAATGACATTTTTCACAGGATTAAAAAAAAAGCATTCTAAAATTCATTTGGAGCCAAAAAAAAAAAAAGCCCAAATAGCCAAAGCAATCCTAAGCAAAAAGAACAAAGTCAAAAGCGTCACACTACCTGACTTCGAACTGTACTACAATGCTACAGTAAGCAAAACAGCATGGTTATGCTCAGCAAAATAAATAATCAGCAGAGTAAAAAGACAACCTATAGAGTGGGAGAAAATCTTTACAAACTATGCACCCAGCAAAGTACTAATATCCAGAATCTATAAGGAACTCAAAAACAGACATAGACCAGTGGAACAAGTTACAGAACGCAGAAATAAAGCCACACACCTATAGCCATCTACTCTTCAACAAACTTGACAAAAACAAGCAATGGGGAAGGGAATCCCTACTTGGAAATTGTGGTGGGATAACTGGCTAGCCGTATGCAGAAAATTGAAACTGGACTCCATACTTTTCACTGTTTACAAAAATCAACTCAAGGTAGATTAAAGACTTAAGTGTAAAACCCAAAACTATAAAAACCCTGGAAGATAGCCTAAGAAATACCATTCTGGATACAGGCCATTCTGGACATATCCTAGGAAATTTCAATTCTGGAAAACACTTTATGACAAAGATGCCAAAAGCAATTGCAACAAAAACAAAAATTGACAAATGGGACCTAATTAAACTAAAGGGCTTCTGCACAGCAAAAGATATCATCAACAAACAACCTATGGAATGGAAGAAAATATTTGCAAACCATGCATTCGACAAAAGTCTGATATCCAGAATCCAAAAAGAACTTAGAAAAATCAACAAGCAAAAATCTAACAACCTCATTAAATGCGCAAAGGACAGGACAAGACACTTCTCAAAAGAAGACAAACACGTAGTCAACAAGTATACGAAAAAATATTCAACATCACTAATCATTGGAGAAATGCAAAACAAAAGTGCAATGAGATACAACCTCACAGGAGGCAGAATGGCTATTATTAAAAAGTCAAAAAGTAATAGATGCTGGCGAGTTTGGGGAGCTACTCCCAGGTCTTTGGAAGGCTGAGGCATGAGAATTGCTTGAACCTGGGAGGCAGAGGTTGCAGTGAGCTGAGATTGGGCCATTGCACTCTAGCCTGGGCAACAGAGCAAGACTCCATCTCAAAAAAAAAATACAGAAAGAGAAAGAAAGAAAAACCCACAGCCAACATTATACTGAACGGGGAAAAGTTGAAAGCATTCCCCTGAGAACTGGAAAAAGACAAGGATGCCCACTTTCACCACTTCTATTCAACATAGTACTGGAAGTCCTAGCCAGAGCAATCAGACAAGAGAAAGAAATAAAGGGCATCTAAATCAGTAAAGAGGAAGTCAAACTGTTGCTGTTCCTGATGATATGATCATATAATGAGAAAACCCTAAAGACTCATCCAAAAAGCTCCTAGATCTGATAAATGAGTTCAGTAACGTTTCAGGATACAACATCAATGTACACAAATCAGTAGCACTGGTATACACTGACGGTGACTGAGCTGAGAATTAAATCAAGATCTCAACCCCTTTTAAAACAGCTACAAAAAAAACAAAACAAACAAACAAAACCAAAGAAAAAAACCCCAAGCAAACCAACTTAGGAATATACCTAACCAAGGAGGTGAAAGACCTCTACAGTGAAAACTACAAAGCACTGCAGAAAGAAATCATAGATGACACAAACAAATAAAAACACATCACATGCTCATGGATAGGTAGAATCAATATTGTGAAAATGACCATACTGCCAAAAGCAATCTACATCATCATTCTTCCCTGAGCTAGAAAAAGCAATCCTAAAATTCATGTGGAAGCCAAAAATAGTCCGCATAATGAAAGCAAGACTAAGCAAAAAGAACAAGTGTGGATGCATCACATTGCTTGACTTCAAGCTATATTATAAGGCTATATTCACCAAAGCAGCATAATACTGGTATAAAAATAGGCACATAGACTAATGGAACTGAATAGAGAACTGAGAAATAAAGCCAAATACTTAAGCCAACTGATCTTTAACAAAGGAAACAAAAACATAAAGTTGGGAAAGGACACCATATTCAACAAACAGTGCTGGGATATTTGGCAAGCCATATGTAGAAGAATGAAACTGCATCCTCATCTCTCACCTTATACAAAAATCAACTCAAGATGGATCAAAGACTTAAATCTAACACCTAAAACTATAAAAATTCTAGAAGGTAACATTGGAAATGCCCTTCTAGACATTTGCTTAGGCAAAGACTTCATGACCAAGAACCCAAAAGCAAAGGCAACAAAAACAAAGATAAATAGATGGGACTTAATTAAACTAAGAAGCTTCTACACAGCAAAAGAAATAATCAGCAGAGTAAAAAGACAACCTATAGAGTGGGAGAAAATCTTTACAAACTATGCATCCAACAAAGTACTAATATCCAAAATCTATAAGGAACTCATATCAGCAAGAAAAAAACAATTTATCCTATCAAAAAGTGTGCTAAGGACATGAATAGACACTTCCCAAAAGAAGATATAAATGGCCAAGAAACATGAAAAAATCCTCAATATCGCTAATTATCAGGGAAATGCAAACAAAACCAAAATGCGATACCATCTCACTCCTCCAAGAAGAGCCATAATCAAAAAATTAAAAAAAATTGATGTTGCCATGGGTGTGGTAAAAAGGGAACACTTTTACACTGCTGGGGGGAATGTAAACTAGTACAACCGCTATGGAAAAGAGTATGAAGATTTCTTAAATAATTAAAAGTAGATCTACCATTTGATCTAGCAATCCCACTACTGGGTATCTACCCAGAGGAAAAGAAGTCATTATATGAAAAAAACACTTGCACACACGTTTTTGGCAGCAAAATTTGCAATTGTGAAAGATATGGAACTAGCCCAAATGCCCATCAATCAATGAATGCATAGAGAAAATGTGGTGTATATATATATGTGTATATACACACATATATGTGTATATATGTATATATGTGTATATACACACATATATGTGTATATATGTGTATATACACACATATATGTGTATATATGTATATATGTGTATATACACATATATATGTGTATATATGTGTATATACACATATATATGTGTATATATGTGTATATATGTATATATGTGTATATACACATATATATGTGTATATATGTGTATATACACACATATATATGTGTGTATATACACATATATATGTGTGTATATGTGTGTATATACACATATATATGTGTGTATATGTGTGTATGTGTGTATATATATACACACACAGACCATGGACGGAATACTACTCAGCTATAAAAAGGAATGAAATAATGACATTCACAGCAGCCTGGAAGGAGTTGGACACCATTATTCTAAGTGAAGTAATTCAGGAATGAAAAAACCAAACATTGTATGTTCTGACTTATAAGTGGGAGTTATGCTATGAGGATGCAAAAGCATAAGAATGATACAATGGACTTTGGGGACTTAGGGGGAAGAGTAGGAGGAGGGTGAGGGATAAAAGACTACACCTTGGGTGCAGTGTACACTGCTCTGGTGATGGGTGCACCAAAATCTCAGAAATTACCACTAAAAATATTTTCCATGTAAACAAACACCACCTGTTCCTTAAAAACTAATGAAAAAAATAAAAAAGACATGAGATCAACCTAAATGCCCATCAATGGTGAACTAGATAAAGAAAATGTGGCACATATACACCATAGAATAATACACAGCCATAAGAAAGAACGAGATCATGTCCTTTGGAGCAACGTGGATGGAGTTGAGGCCAATATGCAAAGTGAATTAACACAGGAACAGGAAACCAAATATCCCATATTCTCACTTATAAGTGGGAGCTAAACACTGAGTACACATGGACAGAAAGAAGGGAACAATTGTCACTAGGTGAATTTGAGGGTGGAGGGTGGAAGGAGGGGGAGAATGGAAAAACTACGTATTGGGTATTATACTTACAACCTGGGTGACAAAATAATCCGCATACCAAACCCCTGTGACATGCAATTTATCCATATAACAAGCCTGCTCATGTACCCCTTGAGCCAAAATAAAAATTGGAGAAGAAAAAAACTCCTAAGAGTTGTCACTTTGGGTAGAGTTACGGGCATTATGATTTGAAGGCATAGTTTAAGGTCATTCCTCCTTTATTTATAAAGTTCTAATTTTTAAAATAAAAGTGCATTTGAGTATTTAATCATAAACATTAATTTAAAAATTCACTGGATTTTGTAGTAACTATGTAATGGATGATCTTTGCTATGAGTGTCATTGGAATGGATAAGCAGAGACAAAAGTTGATGAATTAAGAAATGAAAAGGAGTTAGGATCTAGAGACAGTAGTTATAGACTTATTTTGAGGAATTCAAACATAAGATAAATGGATGTAAATAAAGATGGATGGGGCATTGGATATATGGCAAGAGTTTTTGTTTGCTTGCTTTCTTTAAAATGGGAGAGTTTATATTTATACACCTATGTCTATATAAAATGTTTCTCAAATATATATATACACACATACATATATATGAAATGTGCAACTGTATTTACATATAGCTATGAGGAAGAGGCCATTAGATAGACTAAAGCATACAGATATGTTATAATACAGATGAAAAGGAATAAATTGATCACGTGAATTTTCTTTATGATAAACATTTAGGGGATATGAATGTTTGTTAAAAAAATTTCGTGCAATTTGGGACATTCTCTGCTTTTAATCAACTGCTTTCCAAGGATTTTAACACTGTGAAATGAATTTTAATAGAGATTTTCTATACAATATTCTGAATGTTTTAACAGTTTTAAACAAGCATCCTTAATTGAATATTTTCATAAGAAAAAATGAGAAAGAAATTACCCTAATAGAATTGCCCATTGCCAGGGAAATTTCATAATGAAGTGGGAAAAAACAGCAGCTGCACTTGCCTCCATAAGGCATGGACCTACAGCCAATCTGAAACAAACCACCTTCAAATGTCTCAAAGCCTGAAACACAAAACAGTCACATTTGATGCATTTACAGTGGCCAACAAGAAAATTATTTTAACAAATGTTGGACTATAAAGTCTTTTTTCATAAGAAGCTTTCACTAAACAAAATCTCATTTCAACAGATTGCCCCACTGGACTTTGAACTCTATTATATTTTATAAGTCATCATAGGTTGGATTATAAACAATTTCATCTTTTATAAAATATTATTGTATTTTAATATGAAAATATCAATTTTACTGTGATTAAATAGCTAATGCTACCTTCCTGAACTTTCCTAATACATAGTATAATAATAGTGTCCTAGTAGTGTTTTCCCATTAACTTTTTGATATGAACTCTTTGATTAACTTAATAAGTATAAATACAACACTAACATGCCAAAGAAAATAACTTAAAAACTGCATAATTCATTTTAAAAGGGAGAACTTTTCAATTTTCTCCTTGGTTCATACTTTCTGCTGGAGAATATAATCTCATTGGCTATAATTATTTATGCTCTTGAGCTATTTCTATTAAACCACATTTGCCACATTTATTTGAGTGGCTGTCATATTCATGAATAGTCATCTTCTTATAGATGGGATTTATGATCCCTAGAATGTAATATTTTAAGAAATGCTTTAAAAGATTAGATTTTACAATAATGCAAAGATAATCAGGAACATAATCCTGTAGAGAAAACGTCATAAAAAATTACTGAAATCCTTAATCTCCCTAAAAAAAGAAAAAGAATTGTATAAGGTTTTTCTTATAAAACGTTTGTTTGTTTTGTTTTGTTTTTTGAGACGGAGTCTCACTCTGTCCCCCAGGCTGGATTGCAGTGGCACTATCTCAGCTCACTGCAACCTCTGTCACTCAGGTTCAAGCGATTCTCTTGCCTCAGCCTCCCGAGTAGCTGGGATTACCAGGTAAATGCCACCATGCACGGCTAATTTTTGTAGATTACAGGCATGAGCCATCATGCCCGGCCTTTTTTTCTTTATCTTAGGTTTGTTTACAGACTCCACTTGGAACAGGTAAATACAATTTTTGCTTCTTTTTCTTTCTCACCATCCTCTAATATTTGAAATAACCTTACTCGATTTGTAATTGTAAATCTACCTGTGGATCGAGTCCAAGCCCAGCTCGTATTAGAATAATGTTAAGGGCAATGCTTCTTAAAATTGAAGACCATGCGTTAGGAACATGGACGTGTTCACTGATGAATGGAACATTCCTAATTGTAAATCCAGCCAGTAACATCCCTTAAAAGAAAGAAAATAAACATACATGACAGTTCATTTTTCTGAGAAAGAAAACAGAAATGTTTATTTTCTAATGCACTATGTCTCTCATTATTTTGGTAAAGGGCAGGTTACAAGCAAGTAGAGAAGGCAGCATGAATAAAGGAATGGCGATAAACAATACACCTAAATGGGGTTCAACAAGTAATTTAGTGTTGCTGGAACATACAGGGCAAGGAAAGGAGGGAGGAGAATGAGCTTGGTGGGCCAGATCATAGAAAGGTCTCCCCCCACTTTGGCAAAGTAAGGCACCATGGGAAGGTTTTAGGCAGGAAGTAATATAATGAGTCTTGCGATTTTTATATGAGGGTCTTGGTGAATTAGTTAGGGATAAAACTGGAGACAGAGACCAAATTGAAGGCTCCGTCACAGTCCACGCAAAAGTTGGAAACAAATAGCCTAAGCTAGAGCAAAAGAGAAAGTTTGGAGAGGAGGAAAATGATTCAATAAATACTTAGAAGGTGCTGTAAGAAAACTGTGGATACAGAAGGGACAGCAGGGATAAGATGTAGAGATTATCTCTACTGACAGTGTACTGAATATATATTTATTTTTGGGGACAGGGTCTCATTCTGTTGCCCAAGGTGAGTGCAGTGATGCAAACATGGCTCACTGTAGGCTTAACCTCCTGAGCTCAAGTGATCCTCTTGCCTTAGCCTCCTGAGTAGCTGAGACCCAGAAAAATTTTTAATATTTTGTAAAGACAAGGTCTGCTATGTTGCCCAGGCTGGTTTTGAACTCCTGGGATCAGGTGATCCTCCTGCCTTGGCCTCCCAAACTGCTGGGATTATGGGCATGAGCCACCATGCCTGGCCCACTGTACTGAATATTTAGATATATTTGAATACAGTAAGTTCTCACTCAGCATCGTCGATAGGTGATTGGAAATGGCAACTTTGAGTAAAATGGTATACAATAAAACCAATTTTAGCATAGGCTAAATGATATGAACAAGAGTCAATTTCCTACAGCATATTTCTGGTCACAAAACATCATCAAACTTCTAAATAAAGATCCAAAACACTTCTAGTATTAAACAATGAAATAAATTTGAGCTCTACATACATTTTACAAAGTTTTATAAAATAAATAAGATAATTCTTTACTTAATTTTTGATGAATCCACGAGTGACGGTGGTTATAGCAGTGATGGTTAAAATCAAAGAATAAATGTTTACAAAGTGAAAATTGTAAGGAGCACCTCCTCCCACTATACAGTTCAAAAACAAACACAAATATGGTAGGCTGGCTGAGAGTTTTCACATCACATTGTTTATTGTCTTGCATTTGTATGGTTATCATATACTTAACAAAATTTTATTTTGCAATAATTTATATTCATTCATTTATTCATTGTACAATCCACTAGTTCAGGGTCATTGTACAATCCACTAGAATACTAGTTCAGGGTCAAAGGTGACTGAAACTTAATCCAAAAAAATCAAGGAGGGACTCCCTCCCTAACACATTCTATGAATCTAGTATCACAATTATACCCAAATCAGGCAAAGCCACACACACACACACACACACACACACTACTGGTCAATATCCCTGATGAACATAGATGCAAAAATTCTCAACTAGCAAAATCAATTCAATAGTACATCAAAGAGATAATATAGTTAAGTGGGTTGTACTCCAGAAATACAAGGATGGTTCAACATGTGAATCATTCTTCCATAAAGACATATACACACATATGTTCATTGTGGCACTATTCACAATAAAAAGACATGGAATCAACTTAAATGACTAAATAAAGAAAATGTGTTACATATACACCATGGAATACTATGCAGTCATAAAAAAGAATGGCATCATGTCCTTTGTAGCAACATGGATAGAGCTGAACACCATTATCCTAAGTGAAATAACTCAGAAACAGAAAACTCAAATACCACATGTTCTCACTTATATGTGGTAGCTAAACAATGGGTACATATGGACATAAAGATGGAAATAATAGACACTGGGGAGTCCAAAAGGAGAGAGGGTTGGAGAGTTAAGGTTGAAAAATTTCCTATTGGGTATAGTATTCACTGTTTGATGATGGGTTCACTAGAGCCCAAATCTCACCATTATGCAATATATCCATGTACCAAACCTGCACATGTACTCCGTGAATCTAAAATTTTTAAAGATTCTATTAAACAATAAAGCAACAGGAATAATGTACTAAGGATATTAAATTTATTTTAAAAATAAATTTTGGATAAAACTTGTGTGTGTATATATGTAGACAGAGAGAGAAATAAATGCCCCTATAAAAGAGCTATACACACACACACACACACATACAGCAAATACACACATGAAGAAACTATATAAAACATACTACATTGAAATATTTCTGAATTATAACTAATTCAACAAGAAAATGTTCAAAATTTGCATATAGTCAATAATAAAGAAAAGAGAGCTAATTATATACTTACCAAGAAGAGGTGGAAATGGAGGCACTAAAGGTATTCTAATGAGTTGTAAAATTTTTCCCCCAATAATGGCACTATAAAAAATAATTAACAATCCAAATAAATTTCCACTAGGGAGAGCTTCAGAGCCTAAGATTGACCAGGTCATACACCATATCACAAACAGTGTAACTCCTAAAATACAAAAAAGTGTACAGCTATATATCTACATACACATAGATGTATACAAACAAATGATCAATTCTCTTTTATCATATATACTAATAGCCAGTTCTATAAAATGATACATGGTATAGATCAACATTGCTTACTAGTTTGGTGAAAGAGATATCTGCTTAACATATATTCCAAATAACCTGTCAATTTATGAAGTAGGTTTTAAACAAAGTGTTTTCACTTTAAAAATATTTAAAAACTATATGTGGGCCAGGTGCAGTGGCTCACGCCTTAATCCCAGCACTTTGGGAGGCTGAGGTGGGCTGGATCACATGAGGTCAGGAGTTTGAGACCAGCCTGGCCAACACAGTGAAATCCCGTCTCTACTAAAAACGCAAAAATTAGCCAGGCGTGGTGGTGCGTGCCTGTAATCCCAGCTATATGGGAGGCTGAGTCAGGAGAATTGCTTGAACCCAGGAGGTGGAGGTTGCAGTGAGCCAAGATTGTGCCACTGCACTCCAGCCTGGGTGACAGAGTGAGACTCAGTCTCAATAAAAAAATAAAAAAAATTAAAAAAAAAACCTATATGTGAACTCTTGAAAATGCTAACTTATAATATATGATAGTTAAAAACATCATGGCAATATGATGAGATTTACTTCATTTTATATTTTAAAATAGCTTTTTCATCAGGATGGAAAATAAGAGGATGATTGGCTGTGATAAGAATTCACAACCTTATTGAAGATCACAGTGTCAAGGTGCCAAATCTTTTAACAGGAACCTGCTAAATCTTTTTATTGAAAGGATAATTCAACTGATATTTGGCATAAATGTATTATAGGAGGAAATGGC
Source organism: Homo sapiens (assembly GCF_000001405.40). NCBI lineage: Eukaryota > Metazoa > Chordata > Mammalia > Primates > Hominidae > Homo > Homo sapiens. Next base: position 442,564 of record NT_187383.1, read on the forward strand.
TGGAAGAAATGTACCTAGATTTTGTGGGAATAAATATAAAGTATCTTAGATTATGTGTAGGAGGTAGAGGTAGATTAAGATGAGTAGGTATAAGTTACTAGACATCTTGTTTCTGACAACTAGGTGCTACTCACTGAGGAATCCACAGGTTTCTGTAAAGGACAGACAATAACATGGTAAATTTCCATTTGCTAATTAAATGGCTACCTTTATTTGCTATGAATCATAATTGCTAATGCTTTTAATATTCTTTTTTTTTTTTTTTTTTTTTTTTTTTGAGACGGAGTCTCGCTCTGTCGCCCAGGCTGGAGTGCAGTGGCGCAATCTCGGCTCACTGCAAGCTCTGCCTCCCGGGTTCACGCCATTCTCCTGCCTCAGCCTCCCGAGTAGCTGGGACTACAGGCGCCCGCCACCGCGCCCGGCTAATTTTTTGTATTTTTAGTAGAGACTGGGTTTCACCATGTTAGCCAGGAGCTTTTAATATTCTTAAAACAGCTTACATGAACTTTTTAGCTATGAACCCTTTCTGGCTGTATAGAATTTGCCAGGGTAGAAGAGGAGGATTTTGACTCACTCCAGGCAGAAAGTTAGAACAAAGTTTTTTTCCTCCTCCCCTCTGATTATTGTCATCCTGCAAAACTGGAAGCCTTGGAGGGCTAAACTCTTACTAAAATAATGGACCAGGCTGGGCATGGTGGCTCGTGCCTGTAATCCCGGGACTTTGGGAGGCCGAGGCGGGTGGATCACCTGAGGTCAGGAATTCAAGATGAGCCTGACCAACACGGTGAAACGCCGTCTCTATTAAAAATACAGACAATTAGCCTGGCCTGTTGGTGCATGCCTGTAATCCCAGCTACTTGGGAGGCTGAGGTAGGAGAATTGCTTGAACCCAGGAGGCGGACATTGCAGTGAGCTGAGATGGCGCCACTTCACTCCAGCCTGGGTAACAAGAGCAAAACTCCATCTCAAGAAAACAAAACAAAACAAAAAACAAAAATAAAAAACACAGACCAGAAAATGTCATCCTACTGACAAATTGAGAAGACAAGGCAGTTTGTCTTAGCTGGTCTCTGGGTGGCAAAGTCTTTTTTGAGAATTCATATGTAAAACTGGCCTCATCCAACTTATGCGTAGGGCTCAAATTACATTACGTGCACAGGTTAGGGATCCCAAAGTTCTAAACCTACCATAAAAGTGTCCCTGCATTGAAGTATCCCTAGAAAACTTAGTAGATGCTAATTCAAAAAATCTCTAATAGACACACCTGATCCCAGACTGCATAAAGTCTCAAAGGTAAAGCCAAGTGAATCTGAACTTAAAATAAGAAGAAATATCCCATGAGCAAAAGTTAACAGATACAATAAAGAATGGGATTAGATGTCTAAAAACCTCAGCTAATAGAACCACTAGATAGACACTATAAAATATGTATTTTCAAAGGGACTAGAGAAAATTTTTAAAAATTGGAGACATGAGAAGAAGAAATTACTTGAAAGTATTGTAAAATAATTAAATAGAACATCTAGAAAAAACTTTAAAATTTACTCAACTGAAAAAAACCCACTAAGTACCCAAATAGCAATCTAGGCAAAGCTGAAGAGAGAACACAGCAAAGTAGTAGATATGAGGAAATTATTTAAGAGCATAGCACACACAAAAAAAAAACGAGGTGGAAAATGAGAGATTTAGATTATGGAAAAGATCTAAAACACAACTAATGGTAGTTTCAGAAACATCCATTGAAAGAATGAAGAAGATATAATATTTGAGAAGAAAACTGGCTTCAAATTTTACAGAATTGATTAGGGTTTTTATTGATTTGGACACAGGAAGTCAAATGAGTTCTAATCATGATTAAGTAAAAATAGATACTTAGATAAAATGTTGAGAAACTATAGACTACCAAAGGCAAAAATAAAATCTTAAATAATCTAGACAGAGAAAGAGAGATTAATCATAATTGAATAAACAATAGAGCAGATTCTCAATTCTTATCAGCAACAATAGAAGATGGAAGATAATTAAATAAAGTCTTCAAAGTACAGAGATAAATAAAACATTCAGTGTTGAATTCTGTAGCCAGTTAACTGTCACTCGAACAAAAGACAAATGAAAGATATTGTCAAACAAATACATTTAAGAACATATGCCATTTTTTACCAGGGAAAAATCTACTGAAAGATATGCTTTAGAAATATGACATAGAACCAGAAAAGACGGAACAATGTGCAAAGAAATTGGTAAAATGTAGGTTAGTCTAAACAAGTATTTGTTGTGTAACACATTACTAATGAAAATTGTTAATCAGAGGATATAAAGATAAGGTTGGGAGGTGACATGAAAAGGTTGGCAATTTATTTCCACACCAAAACTCCCCCCAAAAATTGCAGAAATACCAAAAACAATAATTTCAGGACCCTGAAAACTCATCAAAGGCAGTTATCAAATTTAAGAAGCATTTATTCTTGAAAAAAGTGTTAGGGTTTTGGGTAGGATTGGTAAAAGTCTGAGCCCTTCCTGACGGGGGTTTCTCCCTGATATAGTTTGGCTTTGTGTCCCCATCCAAATCTCATCTTGAATTGTACTCCCATAATTCCTATGTGTTGTGGGAGGGACCTCGTGGGAGATAATTGAATCATGGGGGTGGTTCCCCCCCATACTGTTCTCGTGGTAGTGAATAAGTCTCACAAGATCTGATGGCTTTATCAGGGGTTTCCGCTTTTGCATCTTCCTCATTTTCTCTTGCCACCACCATGTAAGAAGTGCCTTTCACCTCCTGCCATGATTCTGAGGTCTCCTCAGCCACCTGGAACTATAAGTCCAATTAAGCCTCTTTTTCTTCCCAGTCTTGGGTATGTCTTTATTAGCAGAATGAAAACAGACTAATACACTCCCATCTCTCTTCTCACCCCCAAGCTCAGTTGGGGAAAACTGTAGTTTTACCAGTTTGAAGCTGGATGTAAAACCCAGCAGCTTTCCTGTTAGGGCTGGGGGCACGGGTGGATTTGGTATGGAGCAGAGGGAAGAAATCAATGGTTTTGCCAGTTAAATATAGCAGAGTGGTTTGGGAATGAACAGAGAGAATTGCAGATTTGCTAGTCTGAGGTTGCAGTTTCAACTGGGGAAGTGGAAGACAAGACAAAAATTTAAGTGAGAGATCCTGAGGGTCAATAGGTGCAGCAAACCACCATGGCACATGTATACCTGTGTAACAAACCTGAATGTTCTGCACATGTATCCTGGAACTCAAAGTGAAAGAAAGAAAGAAAGAAAGAAAGAAAGAAAGAAAGAAAGAAAGAAAGAGAGAGAAAGAAAGAAAGAGAGAAAGAAACAAAGAAAGAGAGAGAGAAAGAAAGAAAGAGAGAGAGAAAGAAAGAAGAAAGAAAGAAAAAGGAAGAAAGAAAGAAAGAAAGAAAGAAAGAAAGAAAGAAAGAAAGAAAGAAAGAGAAAGAAAGAAAGAAAAGAAAGACCCACATGCTAGGCTAGAGTTTTCCAGTTCCAAGTTCCAATTCTCTCACTGAGAAGAGTGGCTCACTGTGCCTAAACTGTTTATACAAACAATGTGGTTTACTCTGAACAGCTGCTTTTCCTCTGAGAGTCTGGAATTC